>NW_009646205.1:0-35455 GCF_000001405.40 Homo sapiens | reverse complement strand
ATCCAAGCTACTAAGGAGGCTGAGTCAGGAGAATCGCTTAAACCCAGGAGGCAGAAGTTGCAGTGAGCCGAGACTGCACCACTGCACTACAGCCTGGGCAACAAGAGGAAACTCCGTCTCAGAAAAAAGAAAAAATAACAAATTTCTCTTGTCACTTAAAAAAATGTTCATATAATAATGACATTATAAGTGAATTATAAATAAGGAAATCTTGTCATACATTATGGTGTCATAAATTTTACTTATTACAATATATTAAAAATGATTTTAATTAAGTAAGGATATAATCTTATTGTATGAATGCCAATACTTTTTATGCATATTGCTTCTTCCAAATGAATTTAGGTTGCATAATGTAAGTGTGAATCTACTAAAGATTATTAGTGAGACTGGAAAATTAACTCTTGTTCAGAATCAGAAAACAGAGGGAAAGAAATAGAAAAAGGGACCAAATAGTAGGCTAAAAATATAGAGGTTTAAGAGGCTAATTTAAGAATTATTTTTAATTTTCCAGTAGACCATGTATGTGTTTGCCTCTATTTATTATTTTTTTACAGTGCAGTACAGTTAAGTTACAAGTTACAAACTTAATTTGTTGCAAGTTAAAATTCTTCCAAGGAAAAGATTACCCAAAAATCAGTTACTCCGTTTTTATTTTTTAATTGCCTTTTAGGAGATTAACAAGATTTGTATCTAACCTAGAAATCTTATTCAAATATTCCTGTATATTAAAAAAGTGTATACAAATATACGTGAATACTTTTCTGATAAACAGTACAACTTTCTTCAATGTTCTTGGAACCAACTTACCATATCAAGATTCCATTCTTAATTTACAAGTTAAATAAAATCTTTTAGAAGTGTACATTAGATTTTCTTATTTTGAAAGCAAGAAAACACTTTATGTATGGAAATGCAAGGATCATAAAAATCTGCATTACTCTATAAGTGATGAGAATATCGGCAAAAATTATCGGAATCAACTTTGTCACATTTCTGACAATTAGCAAAGTCTTGCAAGAATCCAGCGGTGTTTAACCAAGAAAAAAGAGTCTTAACCTCTGAAACAGCAGTGATTTTTTTATATTTACACTTACTGGATTACCAATCATTCTTCTCAAATCCAAAATAGTCTTGAAAACCAACAACTTTACCGTAATAGTAGCTGAGAAATAAGCAGCTTTGAAACCACTGAAATGGGAAGAATGAGTTTGAATCTCTCCCAAAGCTTTCTGGCCATAAAAGTGTCACCAATTTACTGTCTGGAAGCTCTAAAACCTTCATTATTAGGGTTTGTCTTTATTTGAACTCAGTCAGAGTTTCTAGAGGGCATACAAACATGCAAAGTAAGTTAGTTGACAAATTCTGTATTTGTGATAACTTTATAGACCTTAGCGATGACAATGATAATTTACTGTGTAATATATGTGTATTAGTCTGTTCTCATGCTGCTACAAACAAATACTTGAGATGGGGTAATTTATAAACAAAAGAGGTTTAATTGGCTCACGGTTCTGCAGGCAGTACAGGAAGCATCAAGGCTTCTGCTTGGCTTCTGGGGAAGCCTTGAGAAACTTACAATCATGGCGTAAGATGGAAAGGGAAACAGGAACCTTTTACATAGCTGTAGCAGGAGTAAGAGGGTGGAGAAAATGCTACACACTTTTAAATGACCAGATCTCATGAAAACTCACTCACTAACATGAGAACAGCACCAAGGGGGAAATCCACCCCCATGATCCAATCACCTTCCACCAGGCCCCACTTCCAACACTGGGGATTACAATTGACATGAGATTTGGGTGGGAACACAGATCTATAATGTATCAAGATGGTATGTTAGCATTTAATATACATTAATCAGATGTTGCAATAGAATCATATAATGATCTATTTAAACACGGTTTTCAAGCAAGAACCCTTTGAGGATAAAACATTTAAAATATAGCCTATTATTGGAACAATCACCAAATCAATAGTGAAAGGAGGAGTGCTTATTTGACAAATGGGATCTAATTAAACTAAAGAGCTTCTGCACAGCAAAAGAAACTACAATCAGAGTGAAAAGGCAACCTACAGAATGGGAGAAAATTTTTGCAATCTACTCATCTGACAAAGGGCTAATATCCAGAATCTACAAAGAACTCAAACAAATTTACAAGAAAAAAACAAACAACCCCATCAAAAAGTGGGCAAAGGATATGAACAGACACTTCTCAAAAGAAGACATTTATGCAGCCAAAAGACACATGAAAAAATGCTCATCATCACTGGCCATCAGAGAAATGAAAATCAAAACCACAATGAGATACCATCTCACACCAGTTAGAATGGTGATCATTAAAAAGTCAGGAAAAGAACAGGTGCTGGAGAGGATGTGGAGAAATAGGAAGGCTTTTACACTGTTGGTGGGACTGTAAACTAGTTCAACCATTGTGGAAGACAGTGTGGCAATTCCTCAGGGATCTAGAACTAGAAATACCATTTGACCCAGCCATCCCGTTTTTGGGTATATAGCCAAAGGAATATAAATCATGCTGTTATAAAGACACATGCACACGTATGTTTATTGCAGCACTAATCACAATAGCAAAGACTTGGAACCAACCCAAATGTCCAACAATGATAGACTGAATTAAGAAAATGTGGCACATATACACCATGGAATACTATGCAACCATAAAAAATGATGAGTCATGTCCTTTGTATGGACATGGATGAAGCTGGAAACCATCATTCTCAGCAAACTATCACAAGGACAAAAAACCAAACACCGCATGTTCTTACTCATAGTTGGGAATTGAACAATGAGAACACTTGGACACAGGGTGGGGAACATCACACACCAGGGCCGGTTGTGGGGTGGGGGGAAGGGGGAGGGATGGCATTAGGAGATATACCTAATGTAAATGACGAGTTAATGGGTGCAGCACACCAACATGGCACATGTATACATATGTAATAAACCTGCACGTTGTGCACATGTACCCTAGAACTTAAAGTATAATAAATAAATATATATATATATATATATATATATATATATATATATATATATATATAAAGAAAGAAAATCAAAGGAAAAAAAGAAAATGACACAGTTTATGCAAAGTTCTAAGGTGGGAAAGAGCAGAGTGTTTGATTGTTTTATGGAAGGTTTGGGTGCCTGGCCAGCAGTAAATCAAGAATGAAGTATCACCCAGCAATCCCACTACTGGGTATCTACCCAAAGGAAAATAAATTGTTATATCAAAAGACACTGCACTGGTATGTTTATTGCAGCACTATTCAAGATAGCAAAGTCATGGAATCAACCTAAGTGCTCATCAACAGATGACTGGATAAAGAAAATATGGTATATATACACCATGGAACACTATGCAGCCATAAAAATGAATTAAATCATGTCCTTTGCCAAAACAAGGATGGAGCTGGAGGCGATTATCTTAAGTGTAATAACTTAGAACCAGGAAATCAAATACTTTATGTTCTCACTTATAAGTGGGAGCTAATTAATGGGCAGACATGGACATACAGAGTGGAGTGATCAACACCGGGAAGTTTAAAAGAGGAGAGGAAGAGAGAGGTGAGGGTTGAAGAGTTACCTATTCAATACAATGTTCACTATTCAGATGATAGGTATACTAAAAGCTCAGACCTCACCACTGTGCAATATAGCCATGTAACAAACCTGCACATATACCTCATTAATCTATAGAAATCAAAATTAAAAAGAGGGAACATTACAAAAGAATAAAGTGTCATAATATATGTTAGGAATTACAAGTAGAGTAATTGGGCAATCAATGTATCAAGTTCTTCAGTAAGTTAGGACATCTATGTTTGCACTAGCATTCTTTTTTGATATCATAGTTATATCATCAATCTGGATAAATTCGACCAACAATTTGTGTAGTCCCTTTAACGGAGCTGCTTCAAACATCGGTATCTTCTTGTCGATTAGGTGTTTAACCCTGACAACATCCTATACTGATCAGTCAGTGCCCAGGTGTTCCTGAACTCTTTCCTGCATTTCAGTATCATCATAACCTGCCTCCTCAATACTTATTTAACATTTTTCATGGGATAACCAATATAAACTTGCAAAGCGCAACTAAATTGCAAAGTACATCTAAGTTTTCATCTGAGAACAGCATTATTTCATCACATTAAGTAGTTATCAGTCGTTATTCTTCCTAATAAAGTTTCCAAATGTTGTCTTTTTTTGTTTACCTCTGGAAAAGAAACAAACTAATATATACATATACATATATATATATATATGACACCTATGTTTGCACTAGCATTCTTTTTTGATATCATAGTTATATCATCAAATATATATATTTTGTTTGTTTGTTTGTTTGTTTTGAGATGAAGTCTCCCTCTGTTGCCCAGGCTGGAGTGCAGTGGCACGATCTCAGCTCACTGCAACCTCCACCTTCCAGGTTCAAGTGATTCTTCTGCCTCAGCCTCCCGAGTAGCTGAGATTATAGGTGTGCGCCACCACGCCCAGCTGATTTTTGTATTTTTAGTACAGATAGGGTTTCACCATGTTGGCCAGGCTGGTCTTGAACTCCTGACATCTAATGATCTGCCTGCCTCAGCCTCCCAAAGTGCTGGGATTACAGGTGTGAGCCACCACGCCCAGCCAGAATAAAATATTTAAATAATACTTAAGTAACACTTATTTTGAAGGCTCTCATTATTGTAAGCATTAATTGAATATGTAGCCTACGTTTTCACTCTTTGGTTTAGTTTTCCAAACCAAGTTTCCAAAGCGTATTTGTGTCCTCTAAGTGTTTTGCAGCATGGGTGTAATGTGGCTATCATGCGGTGAAAGGGGTAGTATTTCAGTTTCCTTAATATAATCATATGCTTTTCATGGATGTGGCTTACTAAAGACAATAAAAAATCTCACAGAAAATTGTTAAAATTAAATTACTTATAGCTATTGGGAAAGAGACTTATTTATTAACCTTTATAGGTAACATTAAATTAATTAATTTAAAGACTTTCACTTAGAAATGTATGCACAGTATTTTTTTTCAGACATATAAACATTTCTGACTATGTTTTTCTCAATTATTTTTTATTTGTTTGCTTCTAGGTGAACAGAGCCAAGTATCCTAAACAGGTGCAATTCATTTATTCATAACGCAAATGAATATTGAGCTCCTACTTTCATCAGGGGACTTTGCCAAATGCTTACTATACTCATGTTTCCTAAATCTAGGGTGAAGAAGAATAGGGGTTTAAAATAGTCTTCATCTCTAGCTGTTAAAAATCTACTGAATTTCAATAAGCAATTGATTCGTGACATTCTTCTAGGAAATTCTCTCTCTTGTTATTTAAGCCAAGTGTGACTGTAATTTCCTAAAACATTTTTTAAGACAAAATATATATTAAATTCAGCCTTTTCAACTTTACAAACTATACAGACTAAATTTATGTAGTCTGTACTACAGCCCAACCACTTTAAATACTTTCGACTATGTTGAACTCTTCCCAGATAGAGACTGTGGTTTAATCATTTTTATAGCCCAGTTCAGCAGAATACTATTTATTGAGTAGGTAAGTAATAAATATAGCAGGTCTTCAAATAACATTTTGTTCACCATCTTTTGTTATAAACCTGATGAAGGGAAAAAAAAAATGGTTCCTGGCGGGGGCCACTGTCAGTGTGAAGTTTGCATGTCCTCCCCATGTCTGTGGGGTTTTTCCTGGGTACTGAAGTTTCCTTCAATATCCCAAAGCTGTGCACATTAGGTTCATTGGCATTTCTACATTGTCCCATTCTGAATGAGTGTGTGTGTGTGTGTGTGTGTGTGTGCCCTGCAATGAGATGGCATCCTGTCCACTGTTGGTTCCCACCTGTGCCCTGAATTCCCAGGATAGCCTCTGGTCACCCATGATCCTTACTGAAATAATGGAGTTAATAATTGTCTTACTTGTTTTTATTAATCTTTCTTAAGTGCATACATGAATCACATGTATTTTAATTTTTAATATTATAATTATCTTGGTCTTCATTTAGAAAATGGTTGATGTTTTGTGATCAGAAATGTGCCATAGGAACTTACCTTTTGTTTAAATCAATTAGCTCGTGGTAAAACTGATTTCATTACACGTTGTTTGCTTAAAGTCACAGTTTCCAAGAACCTATCAAAGACATGCATGAGGACTTGCCGTGTTTTGTTAAAAATGAATGTACTTGTCTATCTTTCAGATATTGTATTGAAAATCAGATGAGGCCAGGCACAGTGGCCCACAGCTGTAATCCTAGCACTTTGGGAGGCCTAGGTGGGCGGATCGCTTGAGGTCAGGAGTTCGAGACCAGCCTGGCCAACATGGTGAAACCCCGTCTCTACTACAAATACAAAAATTAGCTGGGCATGTTGTTGGGTGCCTGTAATCCCAGCTACTCTGGAGGCTGAGGCAGGATAATTGCTTGAACCTCGGAGATGGAGGTTGCAGTGAGCCAAGATCGCACCACTGGACTCCTGCCAGGGTGACTGAGTAAGACTCCGTCTAAAAAATAAATAAATAAATAATCAGATAAAATAAATTTTAAATGTAATATTCTCTTACATAAATTTTCATGTGAAAATTCAGTTTTCTCTAAATAAACCAATAGTGTAAATATATCATCAGTTTTATCTGTGAAGAATTTTTCAAGAAATGTGATTCTTTCATAAAATCAGAGCCAGTTAGAGCTCCCGAGTAAATCACTGACTTGAGTTTCAATAGCATCTAAGGGACTCTTAGTAATGATGTTTTAGCAAATTATTAAATACTCCTGTTTAAAATATTTAGGGAAAAAGTATAAGCAATAAATCTACTTAAATGTCAAGTATATGGACATCACAACTATTATAAATAACAATAATGCGTGGATAGTCTCATATGCAGTTTTCTTCTAGGCTCAGAATATATTAAAATCTTGAAATCTGACAACATTCAGAATAGAGTCTATTATTTTGTATATCTATTTTAAAAATAAATATGAAAGGATTGGATTTATTTGCTCTATAAATATGTGAGTAATACAGTTCCTGAAGAATTATGATCTGAATACTATGGGAGTATATATGTCATTTCAGCAACACATCTACATTGTACATTTGTGTAAATTGGTTTGTAAGTTTATGTATATGTGTATAACTCTTTTCTCCTCATGAACGTATATCTTTGGAGAATTTAAACATTCATTTCAAAACTTTCTGTATGTATTACGTGATTAAAATTTATAATAACATATATAGTGTACAAAGAGATAGATTCCACAGAAACTATTCTATTACAAAATCTCTACAGCTAAAGTTGGCTGACTTAGTAGGTATGAAGTTGTGATTCATTCAAATAAATATCTTCAAATAAATTGATGGAAGGGACAATGGTGGACATGTTAAAGGATAGAGTCAGGAAACAAATGAACTTTTGAACCATACTGACCTTTAAATCCCATCAAAACAATAACATAATATGATTTTCTATGTCATCCATTTTTCATGGCCCTGATAAAGAGCCTGCTTCTACTTATATCTTCAAAGATATTTCTCCATGGAATGACATCTCAGAAATCCATGCTATAATTCAGTAAATCTTTTATTTTGGCAATGGTAATATTTTGTACTTGTTTCTGAATATGTGTTATGATCCCTTTAGATCAGATCTTTTGTGAAATACAAAAGCCATCCTATTTTCTCTAAATCTTTAATCAAGGATTTACATAGAGTATGCTTTAAACAAATGTTATTTGTGGTAATATGGGCCCTTAATGAAATAATCCAGCAATAAATAAATATTTTAATTACTTAGAAAATTCAAATAAATGATGTCAAGCTATACCTAGGCTAAATTATACTATGACCATTGCTTGACTATATTATGTCACTTATATTCTGCTACCATTTACTTGCATGCTATTGCCTCAGATTCGGATTTTCTACGTTTTAATAGCTCAGGAAGGTGCATACATGTAAGCAGAACATCTAATTAAAAGAATATTATTTCCAAATGTGCTTTTGAATTTATATGTGGAATCGTGTTAACTGTTCACAAATAGGAAAGGCAGAAGTCCATTTCGGGAATAACATCCGATTTCTTTGAAAATTATCTTATGGACCTATTAGAACAGATCAGGGCAAAGTGGTATGTGATAGGTGAATAGTATTAGAAACCTTGGGAGTCAAATGTTGAATCAAAGGGAATTCAAAAAGTGGTTCAGAATAAACCACTGTCAACAAATCGCCATGAAGTGTGATGATATTGAAAGAAAAAATTGGAAAACCCAGACCGAATGATAAAATAGTTAATCCCTAAAGTGCCTGGCAGAGGAAAGAAAGTTCAAGCTAAATCAATGTAGTATCTTTCCTCAGCTAATGTATTAACTTATGAGGAGGCTAGATATTGAATTTTTAGTCCAGATCTTTCACAGTTTTTTCTAGAGAGAAGAATATTGGACAGTTTTCTACTTATATGTGATATGTTTATGAAATAGTGGAAGATGTATAATGTTGATGTAAATATAATTTTCTTTTTTTAAATGTGTATTAAAATTGCCTAAATTAATGTGTAGGATGCTGGCATTTGGCATACAGGATTCAGCTTTGCAGAATAAGGACAAATGATCTCTCCAATAGTGATAACAAATATTGATAAAAAACCACTGTGGAGTGATCATTTAAAAATATGTAGAAAAATTACCTAAAAGTTCTGGGAGAATTTGCAACCATAAATTGCTTAATCAGTGTGCAAATAAGTTTGCGATCTCGGCTCACTGCTAACTCCGCCTCTCGGATTCAAGCGATTCTCTTGCCTCAGCCTCCCTAGTAGCTGGGACTACAGGCGCCCACCGTCGTGCCCAGCTAAATTTTTTTTTTTCTTTTTTTTTTGTAATAGAGACGGGGTTTCTCCATGTTGGTCAGGCTGGTCTCAAACTCCCGACCTCAGGTGATCCGCCCTCCTCGGCCTCCCAAAGTGCTGGGATTACAAGTGTGAGCCAACACGCCCGGCCGTATATTTTACTTTTTTAGCATAACCGTCAAGAAGAGATTTGAAATGAATAGATATATTTTATTGTTGATGTATTATATAAATTTTTAATGGCTAGATGATGATTTCTGGAATTATTTGAATGCATCTTGACAAAAAGAAAAGCTTTCTAGAGCTTACTCATGAACAAATGATTGGTCAAAATAACAAAAATGAATAAAAAGGAAATTCATTATACTTTCATAACAATTTTTTTTAGTCATGTGTAAAGTATTACTGAAAGAATCAATATATGTCTTGTTTTTTCCAAATGTAATTATTCATGGTTTTAAATCACTATGGCTACATCACAGTATTCTAATTGACTGTAGTAAATTCCTTTTTAGAGGAAATAACCTATCTAAAAGTGGTTTGTTACTAAAATTTAAAATAATAAACAGAAAATTGTATTATCCAATTAGTTGTATATTCCCACTGAAATAAATCTTGCTCTCAATTTCCAATACAGCAGGTAATTTCAAGGTTGTATTAAATATGGAGCAGCTGGAGGTTGCCAAATGAATGTTTTGAATGAGTACATTTTAGTGAAGTGTGTACTATCTTTTTTGACATGCATGTAATCATAACACATTTTCTGGCAGCTGGGTTCCCTAGGGCAAAATGAAGCTGCAATAGAAGATAAAACAACCTGCTTATGTAATGACCATAAAATAGTATGTATATATTTCTGAAAAATGTCTCAATCGGATGACTGACTCTAGCTGAGGTCTTATTTTACAGTTCGCATCAGTGAAGCATTTTCAAAATCCTGGGTATCTCGCTCTTTTAAACTAAATCTGAAATTTTATTTAACAAGTGAACAAAATTTCTTAATAAAATGTTTTCTAAATAAAAAGATAAAATGATTTTAGTAATTTTAATTTATCCTGCCACAAGTATATGGAACCAAAGTCATACAGGGTTTGGCGTTTTTTTTTTTTTAATTTTAATCATAAATTCAGTCTTAGAATTTGAATGAATACATGGGGAAAGTATTTTTGTGTGAAATACTCATTAGAAATGGCTTTCTTCCCCCAGAAAAGCCTATAGTAAGCCACTGGGTTTGAATAGTATGAATAGTAGTTTTGTTTTGTTTTGTTTTAATTTCCCAGAGTCAAACTTTACCAGTAAAACAAAAAGTACACAAGTGAGTAAAACTTCCTGAGGTCTGGGACATGCTGCATGACTGCCCACATCCTTTCTCACCACATCAAAGTCATGCTTTCTGGACCAGAATAATAGATAAGTCCTGTAAGTGGGCATTTGTGGTTTATTTCGTATCACTCTGTTGAGAGCATTTAAGTTATGAAACATATCTTTTTTATATCTTAGAGAATTATTTAGCTTACATGATATTCTCCAGGGATGACCATAGTGATTTTTATTCATAAGGACTATCACATGTTTTATTTAACAAATTTAAAAAGGTTACCTACATTTATACCTTTTTGCATCAGGCTTTCTACTCTTATTCATCACGTCTCTTCCTGATCTGCATTAGTGTTGTGTACATTTAATATTTGAGAATGTGTAATTATACTGTAGAAGGAGAAAAATATACAAGATAGATGAAATTTATAAGATATCCTGGTATAGAAAATTCATATTCCAGCAGATTTCAAAATATAAGTTAACATAAAATGCTTTTAGTATGTATACTAATGTGGGACATTACAGAAACAGGCAAAATGCATTGAATAGATGATAATACATTTAGGAAAAATATCCATGATTTTCAGATGAGTAATAACAAAAAAGAAGAAGCCTAGCAGCATATAGGTTATAATATTAAATGACGGAAAGAGAAAGAGTAAAAAAAGCCAAAGGCAAATAAAAATTCTAATAGATATATTAACTCTCACACACAGAACTTGGTATTTGGGAGACAATAACAGAAAAGAGTGTGACATTTCGAGAGGTTTGAGTTTCTTGAAAACATTTAGTTATTCATATTTTTGGGAGGTACATATCTATATTTCTATTTTTCTAAAATATGTTTAATTATAAAGGCACTACAATTATTAGCATACTGATATTGACAATATTTTCTAAATGTTTAAATACACTATATATTTCTGACTGTATTAATTTTTCCTTTCTAATGTCAACACTTATCATTTCTTAGTTTTCTTTGATCATTCTTATTGAAATTTTTCCCATTGAAATATTTTAAAATATTATTTCCCTAGATTTAAAAATCTGTTTTTCTCTTTTGAGTTTTTAGTTAATTTGTCCCTCTTTATTTGTATTATCTCCTTCTTTCTATGGAACTAATATTTATTTATTATGTTTTAGCTTTAGTATTTCAGTGCTTATTTTTTTTAACTTATTTTGTTAAAAAATAATATAAATTTCCTCTAAGTACTGCTTTGCTATCTTTCTGTTTGCTTTTTGGATATGTAAGCCCTTGATTAATGCAATAATTATTTTGGATATTGCCTTTATCTTTACATGGTTGCATTTTTTTAAGGAGATGATGTTAACATTTTATTATTAAACATTCATATTTCAATATGAACAGATAATGCAGTCATAATATTGGTACTTGTTGAACCAAATACAAAATAATTTTACATGCCAAATGTCATATGTATATATGTATATAGTTCATGTGTAAATATATAACTAGACATGTACATAAAACCAATGTTTTAAACTATATTGGTTAAATTTTATCATGTTCTCTATTATTCAATGGACCTAATAAAGACAGTTTGTTGTTATATTTGTTTATTCCAATAATTTATAGTATGTTTGTTGAAAATTTTTTGATCCATCTGTTCAAATTTATAAAAAATCAGAACTCATAAATTCATTATAAATTATGCCCTTTACTGTAAACTTCATTATTCCATTTAAATTTATTTCCCTAATACATCTTTCTGTTCAAAATAACATTGATATTGTTTTGTGTTTTTTTTTTTTTTTTAATATTCTGGCCTTACTGAATCAGGTTCATACTAACATTGAAATTACTGGTTTATTTATTTTTTCACCAATAAAAATACAATATTTTATATTTTCACTCTAAAAAAAGCTGTGCCATTTATTGTCGGTTTATTATCTAATGTTATTTATATTTATTCTCTTTTTTTGGAGTTCCATTGGGCTTTTATTGAGATAAATTAACAAAAATCAAGATGTTACCATAATTTTTGAACCTTATAAATTCAGCAGACTCTGGTCCATATATGTGTACATACAACATAACACATCCCAACAAAAACTGAGCGCCAATGGAACATCTGCCAATTAACAAAAAGCCAATTTTCCCTTCCCCAATGTTTCTGAAATTTTGAGTTCCCACTGTTCACTTCTTAGTAGAACTGGTCCCTTGTGGCTAGAGATACTGGAATTCTCTACCATTTTTACTGAACAAAAAATAATTTTTTTCCTTTATTTCCAAAAAGGGAACAGTGACTGTTTTCTCCAGGCACCCCATCCCCCACAACCAATGGTTAAAATACAGCAGCCTGTGTCTTAATAACCCAGCCCTACTCCCTCCCTTGCCCAGTATTGTCTACTGGAGAATTTAAATGCACTTCTCTTGTAATCTATCAGCTGTGGAGGGGCAGAGTCCAGGTGCCAGTCTAGCTCCCTCTGACCCCATGAATTGTGACAACCTTTGGACACTTAACTCTTTACCTGAAAGATGAGTTTTTAGATCAGAAAGTAGAGTAAATTTTCTTTAGAAGTTTTAAAAAACTATCTTTAGAGATATAAACTACAACTACAATTCCACAGAAGTCTGCTAAAGTTCACCAAAAAGCTGACTTATTTCAGCTGTCATGAGGCCAATAATTTTGATAAAGGTATTTGGTAAGAAAATGATTCCACAATAACAAATTTAGAGATATCTCGAATGTTGAAAAAATAGCAAATTAAAATAACATGGCTTAATTCCCAATAACTTATTTCATTGTTTCTTATCTAGAAGTTCAGGAGTGTGGCTAAAGGCAGTTTCTGATGAGGTTATGAGCTTCCAAGGTGTTTCTAAATTCTTAGTGCAGACACCCTCCCTTTTGGGGCAAAGCACCCTCTCTCCCACATCTACTAAAGAAAACCCAAAAAACCAAAAAATTAAAAAATTAAACCAAGTACCAAAATTGAAAATATTACTGAAGTAAAACCTCTAATGAGGAGTGGCATCTGAACTATCTGGGATACCACTACTGGACACGGTCTTGTAGAGGCAGCAGTCTAGTTTTGGTGCTTGACTCTTTAATAGGAATTGTTAAATGGAAAGATGCTCTAAGGACTAGGTGAAAGCCTGGACTCTTATTTTTTTTTCTTTTTTGGTCCCTCATAATAAGGAGCATTGTTACTATTACCCCTTTCCCAATGCCTCCTCATTGACCTAGTACACTGGGTTAAAAGGGAACTAAAACATTAAAAAAAAAAAAAAAACAGTTTACTGGTTTTCATTCATCTCACTCCTTTTGCCTGGAGATCAGGCCAAACATCAAGCATGTTGGGAGGGGCACAATTTAAAGCAACACTGTTGATTGTAAAGCATTTACCAGCAATTTACAGTACAAAATGACAGACAACAATTCTTATTACAATGCAAGAGAATGACAAGCAGCTTTCTGTAGCATGAAAGTTAACAAGTTAACAGCTCTCAGGTTGCCCATTCCTGCAAAAGAGTATGTATCAAGGTGGGCAGAGGGCAACACATTTACACACTAGAGGAAATGATCTACAGAAAATTACGCTCCAGAACTGCTAACGTTACCAAAGCTGGTACTGGCTAATATTCTGAAATGCAAATCTGCGGTTTATATATATATTGCTCAATGACACTGCCATTCAACAGAATTCCCACACTGCAAGGCAGATTAATCTTTGACCCCGTTTGCAGAGCTTCAAATATTCCTCAAACTTTTAGAAAGTGGGAAGAAGCAAAATCAGAGCTTCTCAAAAAAAAAAAAATCTTGAACTATCAATGTTTTGAAGCTTCCTTGCTCTCTCTGGTAAATCTACTCCAAAGGTACTAGATGAGACAGTGTGGCAGCAAAGAGTACATCCCAGATTTCTGGGGCCCTTTACTAACACAGGGTACCATAGAAATCTGCTCTCTACAGCAAGAGGCCAAAGTACTTTCTAGAATTTGTGTTGCATAACACTGAGCCCCTCTCATCTTTAGCTGTTCCTATAATCACTCTAATCTCCTTAATCCCAGCAACCTTCATCCAAAATATCTATCTATCTATCTATCTATCTATCTATCTATCTATCTATCTATCTATCCCCAGAAGAAAAAAACTTATTTACGAAGTCTATACAAGTATACACACCGAATTTTCTACAGGACACACTTTGCCACAGAGGAAAGGGGGTCAAGGCTCTGACATGTCTACACATCAAGCGCCATACTGCTATGGGAGGCGTGTGTATACCAGTCTTTAGTGTCTGCTGTAGAGCACAAAGTCTTGTCATATGGCTCCTGCAATGATAGACTGCTCTTTGCTTTGGGAGTGATGATGTTTTATCTACTCAGCCCAGAAGAACTTTTTACTTGGGATTTTTTTTTTTTTTTTTTTTTTTGAGATGGAGTCTCAGTCGTTGCCCAGGCTGGAGTACAGTGGTGCAATCTGCACTCACTGCAACCTCCGCCTCCCAGGTTCAAGCAATTCTCCTGCCTCAGCCTCCCCAAGTAGCTGGGACTACAGGTGCATGCTGCCACGCCTGGCTAATTTTTTGCATTTTAGTAGAGACAGGGTTTCACCATGTTGCCCAGGCTGGCTGTGAACTCCGAAGGTCAGGCAATCCACCGGCCTTGGCCTCCCAAAGTGCTGGGATTACAGACGTGAGCCACCGCGCCCAGCCAGGATTGTTTTTTTAAAATACATGTATTTACAGTGTGGATGAACTGCAGTTGTATATCAACTCCTCCACATAAAGAAAAAAAAATGGTGTCTAAAATTACTAATGAGTTTTATCTTCCAGCCCTGGGCTTGAGTATTGGGTAGAAAGGGAAGAGGCTTCAACTTGAAACTAAAATGAAAAGACAAAATATTTTCAAAGAAAAAGAAAAAAGGAAAGAGTTACTATTGTTGATTCCTTGGGCTAGGTCTGAAAGATGATATTCTGAATGGTCTCACAGCATAAGGCACTTCGCACAAATAAGTAATAAGCTCTTCAGGTTTACAAAACGGTTGAGTAATCAGGAGAAGTTGAAATGCACTTGAGAGTCAGCTGTTGGAGAATTTTGAAATCATAGACAAACTTGTGTGCTCATCAAGATTCTTCTCTTTTTAGGGTTTCTCTCCTTCTCTCCTTTCTTTTCCTTCCTTGTCCCATTTCCCCAGAAAACATTTTTTAAAAACCAGTAGTTAGTGCAACTAATGTTCAGTCAGCACATAGTGCAAACAAGTGGAACCAAAAAGGTATATTCCTTCTTCTCAGCCTTTTTCTCATCACCAGTTAAAAAAGAAAAAATGTCTCAGCTCTTTTAAGTCTTCATAGTTCCAAAATAAAAGATGAAAAACCCACAAGGAGAAGAGCATTCCCCTCAAAACGATGTGTCACAGATCCAAACGAGCCGTCTGTAGTTTGTCAAAGCATGCTTTTTAAGGCTTCTCATCTCTACAGGCTCGCTGTGGTATTCTGCCACACACAGGCTCTTGTCAATATTGCTTGGAATAGGTTTAATTTCTGTTCCCAGCTGCTCCTCAATACTTTTCAGGTTGAAGTGATCATCATATGTGATCAAGTTGATGGCTAAGCCAGGATGACCAAAGCGACCTGATCTTCCAATACGATGGAGATAGGTCTCTGCGAGCTTTGGGAAATCAAAGTTTATTAACACATTCACACCTTGTATATCAATACCTCGGGTAAACAGATCAGTGTAAACAAGATCGCATCATAAGCCATTTCGGAAATCATGAAATACACGATTTTGATGTTCCTGCCTCATTTTAGCATGAATATAGAAGCAAGAATAACCTAGTTGAGAAGTCTTGGCTAGCAATTCAACTTGCTGAGAGGAGTTACAGAAAATGATCGACTGGTTTATCTGAAGCCTGGAGAAAAGTGCGTTGAGGCAGTGTACTTTTTGAAGCTCAGTTATACATGCATAGTACTGGGTTACTCCCTTTAGAGTTAGTTCCTCCATCAGGTTAATCTCATAGGGTTTCTGCAAGTGGGAATTCATGAACTTCTGTACACTAAAAGGGAAAGTAGCAGAATGTAGTAAAATCTTCCTGTTTTTAGGTAGCATGATAATAATATCCTCCATTATCTGCACAAAATCCTGTGACAGCAACTTATCTGCCTGCTCATGCAATACTATCATCTGGACATGATCAACCTTTGCTACTCTTTTTTTTTCTTCTTCTTCTTCTTTTGAGATGGAGTCTCCCTCTGCTGCTCAAGCTGGAGTGCAATGGTATGATCTCAGCTCACTGCAACCTCCGCCTCCCCAGGTTCAAGTGATTCTGCTGCCTCAGCCTCCTAAGCAAATGGGACTACAGTCACACGCCACCAAGCCTAGCTAATTTTTGTATTTTTAGTAGAGACAGGGTTTCGCCACATGGGCCAAGATGGTCTGGATCTCTTGACCTCGTGATCTGCCCACCTGAGCCTCCCAAAGTGCTAGGATTACAGGTGTGAGCCACTACGCCCGGGCTACTCTTTTCTTAGTAACATCCAGGATTCTCCTAGGGGTAGCAATCACTACGTGCATTGTATCATCAAGCCTAATTATGTCATCTCGTAAATTGGTTCCTCCTGTGGTTGCCATCACTTTGGCCCCTCCCATGTGTTTCCTGACCTGGACGCAAATTTGACTGACCTGTAGAGCAAGTTCTCTAGTCGGAACAAGCACCACTGCTTGTATATTGTGCTTCTTCAGATCTCGCCGTTCAAGTAAGGGAATGAGGTAGGTTCTGCTCTTGCCTGTTCCATGTTTTGCTCTAGCTAAGATATGCCTACCAGATAAAGCAATGGGAATGCTCTCCTCCTGAACAGGAGGTGGCTTTTCCCAGCCCATTTCAAAAATTCCCTTCAGTAACTCCCGTTTCAAACAATAATCTTCAAACTCATTTTCTTGTTTGGAGTGTGGAGGGCACTTCCGAAGTTTTGATTCTTAGATCCTTTGGAGGGAGTTTTATAGTCTTTTTCCAGTCGTCACCAGGCCTAATAGTGGTGGTCATACACTGTGCTTGCTACTGGGTGCCATTATTGATTGTGCTAGTGTTTTTTAGCTGGTTCATCTGTTGCTGTGTCTGGGTGCCCCCTCCTCCAGGGCCACTAATGGGTTTCACAGGGCCCCTCCGCTGACCATTCTGACTGGACAGACCCATTATAACAAGGTTCTCTGTTCTGGCCGTGCTCATGCTGTTTTAGTTGCAAAGGTGTCTTTCAAACTTCAAAATTTTGAAAGTCAGTAGAGAAGTTCTAATAACAGTTTATTAGGCTCTCCAAAACGAAGAGAAAAATATAAGTCTTGCTGAATAAATGAGTCCCTGTTGCAATGCAGGCAAGCACCTGTAAGTCTCTGAACAGTAAGCAGCAACTTTGCTCTCTTGCACGGAATCAGCTTTTTATTTTTGAAAAGCCCTCTATGAAGCTTGAGTTACATCTGAATTCGCTCACGTCAATTAACGAGGCCGCTCGGAACCCTTGGTCCTTTATTGTTGACTTGAAGCTCCCCAAATCTATATTTAGTCTTAACTATCACATTTGATCTTAGTTCTTTCAGTTGCTTCTCACTTAGCGCTGCATTCTTTAGTATGGTAAATTACGTATAAATTTATTTATTTTTAACATTTTAAGTTTTAGGGTACATGTGCACAATGTGCAGGTTTGTTACATATGTATACATGTGCCATGTTGGTGTGCTGCACCCATTAACTCGTCATTTAGCATTAGGTGTATCTCCTAAAGCTATCCCTCCCCCCTGCCCCCACCCCACAATAGTTCCCAGTGTGTGATGTTCCCCTTCCTGTGTCCATGTGTTCTCATTGTTCAATTCCCACCTATGAGTGAGAAGGTGTGGTGTTTGGTTTTTTGTCCTCGCAATAGTTTGCTGAGAATGATGGTTTCCAGTTTCATCCATATCCCTACAAAGGACATGAACTCATCCTTTTTTGTAGCTGTATAGTATTCCATGGTGTATATGTGCCACATTTTCTTAATTCAGTCTGTCATTGTTGGACATTTGGGTTCGTTCCAAGTCTTTGCTACTGTGAATAGTGCTGCAATAAACATATGTGTGCATGTGTCTTTATAGCAGCATGATTTATAATCCTTTGGGTATATACCCAGTAAAGGGATGGCTGGGTCAAATGGTATTTCTAGTTCTAGATCCCTGAGGAATTGCCGCACTGACTTCCACAAGGGTTGAACTAGTTTACAGTCCCACCAACAGTGTAAAAGTGTTCCTATTTCTCCACATCCTCTCCAGCACCTGTTGTTTCCTGACTTTTTAATGATTGCCATTCTAACTGGTGTGAGATGGTATCTCATTGTGGTTTTGATTTGCATTTCTCTGATGGCCAGTGATGGTTAGCATTTTTTCATGTGTTTTTTGACTGCATAAATGTCTACTTTTGAGAAGTGTCTGTTCATATCCTTCGCCCACTTGTTGATGGGGTTGTTTGTTTTTTTCTTGTAAATTTGTTTGAGTTCATTGTAGATTCTGGATATTAGCCCTTTGTCAGATGAGTAGGTTGCAACAATTTTCTCCCATTCTGTAGGTTGCCTGTTGACTCTGATGGTAGTTTCTTTTGCTGTGCAGAAGCTCTTTAGTTTAATCAGATCCCATTTGTCAATTTTGGCTTTTGTTGCCATTGCTTTTGGTGTTTTAGACATGAAGTCCTTGCCCATGCCTATCTATTAAATAAGATATGTAACAATTGTAAAATATGTTGTATGGGTTGTCTACTAATTTTACTATTATTTTAAATAATTGATGCTTTTAATCAACATTTTAATTTAAAAAATAAAATAATCAACAGAATTTTTTATTTAGTATTGATGTTACTAATTTAAATATATTGTTCTTTCAACATCAGTGAACTAACATATTCTATAAAAGGTAGAAGAAGGTTCATTTTCATGTTTGCTGCATGTTCTATTTTCTGACCTGACAGACTTACAGAAATCTTGAGCATAGATTTCCTTTGCATAGGTCATCTCTTTTTCTTTCATGACTTTAGCATCAATTTGTATGTTAGTTTTTACTTCAGTTAGGGAGAGTTTGTTTGTCTGTTTAGCTATCTTCATGAAGTTTTTGTGTAAATAATAATGGTTTCATTATCAGACAGCGTTAACATTGATACATTCTTAAATATCATTTTAAAAGGATTTTATGACAAAAATGATGGAATAAACCTAATATTTTGTAAGCCTATTTGGGAAATACTGAAAACTATCTAAATATATGATAGAACAAGAACTATACATACAATATAAATGAATATGTGTATATATATATGTTTTCTGAATAAGGGTATTTAATTTCAAGGGGAAATCATGCTTAACATGGTGCTTGCTCTGCAGTAATAAAATATTTTTAAACTGTGGATGTAATTTTTGAATAAGGGTATTCAAAATAATAATAATAAATTATATTTTAAACTTGACCTTTGTTTATTGAATATATTTATCATTGGCTTAATTTTAGCATATAGATAGCATATAGATATATTTTTGTTAACATGAAACATTAGAGAACAAAATTGTGACACAAAGATGATTTTGACAGACTAGAAAAATAGACCACATCTGACAAGTGACCTCTAATAACTGCAAGTGAAAGCCATGAAATTAATTTCAAAGAACCAAATGGCCGTAACAGCAGATTATATTAAAACAAAAATTCTTATGGACTTCAGTTGACACAAACATCAATGACTTAACATTTTGACGTAAATGCCGAAGTAGTTCATGTGACTTTAGTCTAAATTAGTAGAAGCGCAGTGGTCAGCATAAAATGCATGGCAGACCTGCCAGTTTTCTTCTTTAGACTGACTGTATTACTTATTTCCTTTTTGTTGGACCATGTTTATTGGCATTGACAAGGCTGGACCTGCTACGAAGTAACTGGATTCAATTTGAGAGACTCCAAACATTCTCGCAGGCAACGGACAAAGAGATGGCAAGATTAGCTTACCTGTTGTAAGGAAGAAATAAAAAAGACACAAATAGACTTAACAATCAGAATTTGGTGAAATTGTGTAGAGGATGCAATCACAGTTACAGTAATAGCATCTCTGCACCATCACGTGATAAGTGTCTGCAAAATTTTAAACCATCTTTCCTGAATATGGTTTTGCATTTTATTAAAACTTTGCAAACAGAAATAAGTCATTGCTTAACAAATGAATATTTTTAATTCTTATCCAAAATACTTAAAATTACAATAATATAGAATATGAATTACTAAACATGTTTTAATATTTTTAATAGTTTATAAATTCATAAACAGCATGAGTCCTAGAAGAGAACAAAAATATCTACTATAAAATTTTTGTGCATTTTACCTTATAAAAAATATATTGCAAAGTCGTATTTTACCATCATAAATACAATTCTAATGAGCAGAAATTAAATCTGTCAGGCGAATGTATTGAATAAACCTACATTCATAGTTTATTGTTCTTTGTCTTTACTGTTGATGTAAGCTTTTGTTTCCTGACACTTTGGATCCCCCTTCACAGCTTTTGCTCTGTCTCTCAGAAATGTGTAGGATAAATGTGGCAGGAAAAATTAACCTGCATGTCTCCTTCCCACTGCAGGGCCTAAAATAAGCGCTTTACACTTTGAAGTCCCCGAAAATAAATGATAAATAATGTAAAATGCAGATCAAAATGCAAAGACATAGGCATGGACTTAGCAATTTAATAAAAAGTAATTGCAGGTCTGTGAAGCACCAGTAGGTCTTAAAACCCTGGCAGTGGAGAAGGTCAAACCTGGAATTCCAGCCAAATTCCACTCTCTTAAGTCAGGCATGTTTCTGAACCATTCATGGTTTCAACTGTAAAATGGGAGTGTTTTAAATAAGTTATTCATGTCATAAGCATAGTAAAATTGCTGGTATATATTAAATTATGAATTAATATTAGTTTTTTATCATTATTATTATGTCAATATATTCACAAATGATATACTTTATTTCCTGGGTTCTTATGAGAATGAAGATAATATTGAAGGGGTATAAAATTTATATATTGTGAATCCTTTAAAAGATAAAAGACTAATTAATCTTTGCTTTTATTAAAACTTTCTAATTTTTTTTTCAAATATATATGCATCTCTAAATAAGTTTCCAAAAGTTTTGGGACTTCTAGAATTAGTTGCTGCTAATATATAAAATAACAGAGTTAATATTTAAAGTTCCAACTTCTAAAATAGTGTTTGCCACACATGTAAATGTTATATACTATAGTTAGAACTTAGATAAATATAAAAAATTAAAAATAGCAATATTGATCTTTGAAAATGCAGATCATTTGAAACACTAAGCCTTTGGCATTTACAAAAAACAAAACTGGATAAGGCTATGTTTAAATATTTTTAACTGTTTTATTGGATTAGTCTATAGGTTGTAAATAAATTTATATTACCATTCTTTTAAGTTGCTGTGTTCAAACCATATTCAAATGTAATCAAAAGCGATTACAACTTGTAGGTTGTAAATACATTTATATTAGCATTCTTTTAAGTTACTCTGTGTTTTTAGTACTTTCTGTTCATTTTTCACAGTAAAACTATATTCTACAGTAATAATATGCTGTAGTTTCAGGACTTACTTGATATTTTGCTTTTTATAGGTTACCAAGTTATCAAAATGTGTAAATAAAATTTAAGAAATGAAGAATATGTCGTGTCCCCCCAAATAAAACAATTACTTGAGAGTTGCATAAATTAGCACTTGCTTTAAAATCCACAAGATTTTTTAAAATTTAATGAATCTGCAAAAGTTGATCAAACTGACATTTACAATTATTCCTTACCAACATTAAAGGCTAATAAAATAATTTTAAAAGACTTTAAATTTATCTACTCTTAAACTGTAACTTATCAGACTAAGGCAGGTAATAATCACACATATAGTTATTATGTAGGTTACCTTATTATTAGTTGCATAAAACTATGATCTGAAGAAAAAATTATAAGTTCAGATTCACACAGACTAGATGGAGAAACAGTGTTTGAAAATATAAGTGATTGTAATAATTTTTACTAGATAGTGGTAAAGGAAGAGATTTTATGGGCCGAAATGAGAAATTTAAGAAAAGTAATAGTCTGAAAATTCCAGTGTCAGTGGCAAAAATAATCAATGACACAAAGTATGTGTAAAATAGCAATAAATGACAATTGGAACCACATAAGCTAGACAATGGAGTTCCTCAAATGCCTAAGCACCTATCATTGAAGAATGGGAAACTTTTAAGGAGCCAAAGTAAATAAAAACACAGCATATGTGTTGCTTTTGAGAAAAGAGACTGAACATAAGGAGACTATTTAAGACACTATTGCAACGGTCCCGGTGAGATAAAACTAAGAATATGAATTAGTGTTGTAATTGTAGGACTAGAAATGAGAGAAGAGTGTAACTACATATGTAAATTCCACAGGTCTTGGCTGTTTGTATTCCCCTGAAAAGGGAAGGTTGAGAAATATGAGGCAGAGACACCAAGCAAATAGGAAGGAGAAATCCCATCATTGCTAGCATTCTCAGCAATGCTTGTTTTTCTTTCTTCAGTTGGAAAACAAGACATTTGTTAAATTATGTCTCTCCTCTTTCCTTTTCCTTTCCCCGTTCTTTCTCTCTTCCTACCTGCACAGAACTACACAGACATAGGCATGCACACATACACACGTAAGCAATTACAATCAATATAATAGCAGTCATCATCCTCACTGCCACCATCACCACCACCATCTTTAAACCCTGCCATCCTGTTTCAGATTAATAATGTTAAAAGAAAAAAACCTTTCTACAGTTAAATTTTACAGAGTTTAATTGAGCAAAGGACAATTCACAAACCAGGCAGCCTTCAAACAAGATTAGATTCAGAGATACTCCAGCACTGTCCCATGGTCATAGAGTGTCTATGAACAGGAAAAGGAAAGTGACATGCAGAAAACAGAAGTGAGGTATAGAAACTGCTGGATTGGTTCCAGCTCAGAGTTTGCCTTATTTGAGTATGGTTTGAACAGTTGGCCACCTTTAATTGGCTGAAACTTGGTGATTGGTACAAGAGTAGGTTGCAGTCTGTTTACACATCCAGTTAAGATACTGTTCACTATGCACAGAAGAACCTTTACTGAACTTAAAATATGTAAGGACACAGCTTTAGGCTAAACTTAATTTAATAATTCATATAATTTTACCCCATTTCAGGGGTAGGCAGGTGAGATGTAGTTTTATTCAGCAGCTCTCTCATTAGCAGCTTACTCACGCTAGCTGTCTCATGCTGTCCGCCTTTAACTCAGCTTTCTGCTCCAGCTGTGTCTCATATCAGCAGCCGGCTCTGTGGCTCCTGCCACCCCCATGCCTGAAGCTGTACTCCCTGGCCTGCAAGGCCAGCTCTGTCAGAGTCAGCAGCTTAACTCTTTCCCTCTGGGCACAAGCTGGTTTCTGGATCCCCCCTGCTGGCCTTCAAGGTGACTGGCTCTCCTTTACAGGGGTCAGTAGCAATACTGTCTCTCTGGGTGTGTGTGAGACGAGCTGTGCCATGCCCTAGCTTCCCCCTGTCCGTCTACAAGATGGACAGCTTTAGCACTCTCTCTTTCTCTGGCTGCAAGAGTGCCTATACAGTGTCAGCAGGGCAGTTATATCTTTTTCAAACAATAGTGGCTCCAAGCCATGTATGAGCTTACACAAACAGGTTATATAACAAGTGGAGTTATATACCTGCACTCCAAACTCGCTGAGTCACTCTGGCTCAGATGTCTGCGTCAGCCTATTGTTGACCAAAGTACACCCATGTACCTTACACATACCTTAGTCTCAAATTATATATTTTTTAATTTTTGTTTTGAACTATTAGTGTATTTTTTCTCACATTAGTCTACTAGTCTTCTCTAAATATATCAAAATTTTCTTAATTTACTATTTTTGTGTTTTTCCACCTCTAGAAATGTATTCTGTGCATGTCAAAATACACCTCACGTTTTGTATTTTTCCCAAATACAATATTTTTTGAAACTGTTCTCATCTTTTCCAATATGCAGTAATCTAATCTTTAAGCAGGTCTGCTGGATTGCTTGCACAACAGCTTAGACTGGTTGCAGAGCCTTCTCTTCCTCTGGGCCTCATACAAAATGAGTAGTTTTGCAGTCACAGGGTAAGTGGGCTGGAGTAACAGAGCCAAATAAGGAACATATTGTCTTAAAAATCCAAATAGGCTCACTAGGCCTATTGTGTGTTTCTTTTTTGGTTGTAGGAGGTGCCAGATGCAACAACTTTTCCCTCACCTTAGAAGGGATATTTCAACATGCCCCACACCACTGAACTCCTAGAATTTCCATTGAAGTAGGACCCCCCGATGCCCCCTGAATTTTTATCAGATGTATTTTCTACCCTTTGACACACAAAAGTTTTACTAATAAGTAATAAATAGTGGCTGCTTCTTGCACACAAGTGTTCAATCAGAATAATTTAATCAATGTAATGGGCCAATGTAATTCATCTGTGAAAGGAAAAAGACATCAAGATCTCTGTAAACTAAATGATGACATCAAGCTGAAAAGCTGATGAACCTGTGAGTTAAGACAGTAAAGGTGTATTGCTGGCCTTATCAGATGAAAGCAAACTGTCTCTATTATTTCTTATGAATAAGGATGGGAAAAAGGCATTTGCCAGATCAATAGCTGCATACAGGTATCAGGATGTGTTTTACTTTTATGAAATGAAACCACATCTGCTACAGCAGCTGCAACTTGAGTTTCCACTTGGTCAGGTTTACAATAATCCACAATTCTTTCAGAGGTTCATCTGTTTTCTGCACAAGGCTTAAGTAGGCAAGTTGAATGAGAATGTGGTGGTAATCAACATACTTACATCTTTAAAGTTTTTGATGGTGATACTGATCTCTGCCAGCCATGTAAGTATGCAATATTGGTCATTATTTGCTATTTTCTTAGGTAGAGGCAGCTCTAATGGCTTCCAGTTAGCCTTTCCCATCATAAGAGCCCTCATACCACATATCAGGAAACCAATATGGAAATTCTCCACGCTGCTAAGTATATCTATTTCAATTATGCATTCTGGAATTGAAAAAATAACCACAAGATGAGTTTAGGGACCAACTGGACCCACTCACTTTGAGACACGTCTGAAGTAAAACTCTGTCGAGGCTGGGTGGGGTGGCTCACACCTGTAATCCCAACACTTTGGGAGGCTGAGGCGGGTGGACCACCTGAGGTCAGGGGTTCAAGAACAGCCTGGCCAACCTGGTGAAACCCCGTCTCTACTAAAAATACAAAAATTAGCCAGGCATCATGGCACACGCCTGTAATCCCAGCTACTCAGGAGGCTGAGGCAAGAGAATCGCTTGAACCCAGGAGGCAGAGGTTACGGTGAACGAAGATCGTGCCATTGTACTCCAGACTGAGCAACAGAGTGAGACTGTCTCAAAAGAAAAAAAAAAAAGACTGAGACTTGTTGGGCCTTCAATGCAGGCTGATTTCTTCCTCTTTCCACTCCTGTTTCCCTCCCTCTTCTTCCAGAAGTGTTTATCCAAAAAAACATCTGCACAATAAAGAATAGAAACCTGCATGCAAAAATTCACCTAGGAAATGGCTTTTTACAGAAACCAATATGTGACAATCTTAAAAAGAAAGCTGTAATATGGAATACCTCACTGTCAGCCTAACAATGAGGGTCCCATCTATGGCAGCACGTCTTACAAAAGGGGCAGTACAACTACTAGCACTTATACTAGTGGCATATATAATGACATATACTGATGGAAATAATTCATTAACTTGGGATACATCAAGCATTTTAGATATATGGGGGACATAAAATAATGTACTTGATGGCTATCGATAAGAGCAACAGAGCTCTGGAAGAATATAATGTAAGTCTGAGCCAGATGAATTGCTAACTGAATGCTAAATGTGTAACTAGATGTCCTCTGGGTAGTTTACACTGTTTTCCTAAAATAAAAGGGAGAAAAAAAAATCTGGGGACCAGATCTGGGATTTAATCAAAAGAATAGCCAAGCTCCAAAGAGTATTAAATTCCCAAACAGGGCAGATCTGTTTGGCCAAGTTCATAAACCAGTTACAAAAGCATAAAACATTGACACATAATATGAGGCAAACAGCATCTGGGTTGATAATAATCAGACTGTGAATCAGTATGTTTTCTTGAACCTAATGAGCATGGAAAAGTGGCCTTGTCCTCCTTTTTGAGATCTAGTGTTTTCTCCTTGCTTGGAGCTGATGCAGAAGTTTCTTCTCTCATGTTTCCCTACCCCAATTCTGCTCTTAGACCTTCTTCTTGGAAGGATGTCTTGCTAAAATTAAGCAACAGTATAACCTCATCAGTGATGTTCTGGCTCTGATAAGAAAAAATGACTAAATCTCTAAGGCAGCTGTAAGGTTTAGCTGGTATGTACCAGCAGGAGTCAGAATACAATCAAATTAGGAACACATTTCTGGATACATGACTTAAAATTCTGTAAAGGGCCACATGAGACTGTGCAAAGTTGCCACTACAATGGCTCCTAGATGTATTGTAAAAGTTATATCTAATACTAAATATAGTTAGTACATCAGAATTATTGTGACAGACCATAGAAGAAGTATTTAAAATGCCCAGAGAAATAAATAAGATAGAATAGATATGTTATCTATTCTGACATATACATATACAACAAATAATTATGTAAAACTGACATATACAACAAATAATTATGCTCTGTTAAAAGAAACGGGATACGTGTCTCACTAAGACAAAAAGGAATGCACTGGAAAGAAAACACAGTATCTGTCTTCCATAGATAAGGAATGATAATATAGGAAATTATTAAGGACATAAGCTTGATGATGGCTATGAAGGTATTGATTTTACTCTTAATGGAAGGTAATACTTTGGTCTGCCAAAATTTCATGGATACTAGCGAAGGATAAGATTCTCCTGGATCAGAGACAAATTTGTACTTACAGCAATAGCCATAGTCAGAGTAATATTAAAGTTACTGGCAAGCAGAAGCAAGGTGGCTTTTTGTCTGGAGGAAAATATGACCTGATTTTTCAGAACTAGTAGCTGCATAAACAATCCTAAGAAAAGTGACAAATCCAACAGTATGTGTAGGAGTGCAAGGGACCCATGCTGGACTCTATCCAAATAATCAGTGTGCATGGCAGGGCTCCAAAATAATAGAGTCCAGGTGGATGCAATTACTGTAATAAGTGGCAAGTAGCAAGGTCAGACCATCACAGGGAGACCTGATCCTCAGAGATTTATAACAACAGTTAAGAGCTGGCCAAGATGGATAGCCTTATTCCTCCTAGGTCCTTCCTCTTGCTACTAAAATATACTGAGCCAAAACAACAAACAAGCATAGGAAAAACTGGAAAAGTTGGAAAGAAGTTGGCAGCCTACTAAAAGACCTTGTGCTTTGAGGAATGACTCAGCAATGGGTCCTTGGTTTCCTTACTGGCTTTCATATATCTCAGACAGGACGTTGCAGAAGTCTACAAGCCAGAAACACCAACAGGCAATGACAAATAAAAGTACACACACAAAAAATCTGACTCTGTAGCCATAGGACTGAGAAAAAAATTGGCCTAAAAAAACAGGAAACATTTTTCATAATACAAACTATACTCCAGTCAAACAACCTCAGAAAACCATTCTCTTCATGCCCCCATAATTTCAGCAGTGATGAATGGGGAGTTGAGCATTCACTCCACCTTGCCTACATCCAATTAATGATTCAGAGGTTAGATTTATCTAACTAAGATTTGGAATCAGTCATCACAAAATTGCTTTAGCAAGAATGATGAATCTGTTGAATCAAATAAAAAAAGAAAAAAATGTGATAAAGATATAAAAGTTACAGAAAATAACTATATGCAAATTATAGAGCTAAACAATGCAATGACAAAAAAAACACAAAACATCTGGATGGACTTAATAGTAGAGTGGAGATAACAGTACAGACTCTGTGAACTAGAGGTCAGATCAATTTAATTTATCAAATCTGAGTAATACAGAAGTAAATAGACTAAAAAAAAAGTACAGAATCTTGGAGAAAGAATGTGGGTCTGAGAAAATATTCAAAGGAAATGTGGATGAAAACTCCCCAAGTCTGGTGAAAGACATAAATCTACAGATTTAAGAATCTGAATCTCAAATAAGATAAACCTAAAAAAAATGCTAAGACACATGATAATTAACTCTCAAAAAACTAATTATAAAGAAAAATCTTGGAAGCATTCATAGAGAAATGACAAATTATAGAGAAAAAAATTTCTAAAACAGTAGATTTTTCCTCTGAAACAGTGTAGGTAAAAAAGAAATAGCATCACATGTTTCAAGCACTAAAAGAATCATCAAGTGCAAGTTCTATATGTGACAAAACTATCCGTCAGATATAAAGACAAAATAAAACATCACTGGATGAAGGAAAACTAAGACAAATTTTCACTAACCTTAAAAAAACAGCTAAATGAAGTTCTTGGAACTTCAGAAAAGAAAGAACACTGAAATTAATAGAAATAAAGGTAAATGTAATATACTATTCTTATAAATTTATTGAATTACATCAGTTTGTTGAAGTAAAAATTATAAAATACATTGTGTACAGTACATGACAAGTGAATTCTTAATTATAACACAAATTGAGGAGGGTAAATGGATATAATTAGAAGATTTTTACATTAATTCTACTTGGAGAGAAAGCAGCAATATCAGTAGACTGTGTTAAAATGCTTATGCATATTTTAATACTTAGAACAACTATGAAGAAAACCATACAAAGCAATAACTTAAAAATGCACTATACATAAATCAAGGAGAAATCGTAAATCATGTTCAAGCATCCCACAGTAAGTCAAGAAAAGAGAAACAAAGGAATGAGAAACAGAGGAAATAAACAGAAAAATTATATATAAATATATATATAGTTTTATATGTAAATATATAGTTATATATATAAATATATATAGCTTTATATATAAATATATCGTTTTATATATAAATATATATTTAGTTTTATACATATATAAATATAGTTTTATATATATAAATATAGTTTTATATATATAAATATATAAATATAGTTTTATATATATAAATATATATATAAATATAGTTTTATATATATAAATATAGTTTTATATATAAATATAGTTTTATATATAAATATAGTTTTATATATAAATATATATAAATATAGTTTTATATATAAATATATATCAATATAGTTTTATATATAAATATATATATAGTTTTATATATAAATATATATAAATATAGTTTTATATATAAATATATATAAATATAGTTTTATATATAAATATATATAAATATAGTTTTATATAAAAATATATATAAATATAGTTTTATATATAAATATATATATAAATATAGTTTTATATATAAATATATATAAATATAGTTTTATATATAAATATATATAAACATAGTTTTATATATAAATATATATAAACATAGTTTTATATATAAATATATATAAACATAGTTTTATATATAAATATATATAAACATAGTTTTATATATAAATATATATAAACATAGTTTTATATATAAATATATATAAATATAGTTTTATATATATAAAAATATATAAATATAGTTTTATATATATAAAAATATATATAAATATAGTTTTATATATATAAAAATATATATAAATATAGTTTTATATATATCAATATATATAAATATAGTTTTATATATATCAATATATATAAATATAGTTTTATATATATCAATATATATAAATATAGTTTTATATATATCAATATATATAAATATAGTTTTATATATATCAATATATATAAATATAGTTTTATATATATCAATATATATAAATATAGTTTTATATATATCAATATATATAAATATAGTTTTATATATATCAATATATATAAATATAGTTTTATATATATCAATATATATATATAATTTAAAAATTTGTACTTACAGCAAAAGCCATAGTCTGCTTCCTATTTTGTTAGGCCAATTTTTTCTCATAGTTTCAGGTCTTATATTTAAATCTTTAATTAATCTTGAGTTGATTTTTTGCATATGATGAGAGATAGGGGTCCAGTTTCATTCTTCTGCACATGGCAATCCAATTTTCCTGGCACCATTTATTGAAAAGGATATCATTTCTCTGGTGTATGCTTTTGTCAGGTATGTCAAAGATCTGTTGGATATAGATATGTGACCTTACTTCTGTGTTCTCTATTCTGTCAATTTAATCATATTGATTCCCCTAGCCAGTCCACAGAGGGACCTATAGACATTTTTCAGGGGCCTTTCAACTAGGAAATTAGATTTGAACACTGTGAGAAAAATTGAACTGAAGTTTCAAGTCTACATTGATCCCAGGAACCCAGGCCATTATCAGGGTCTTGTGGTAAATTGGAGCTCGGGCGTATTGGGTAATAAATGCAGATCTGGCCAAAATCCAACTCTCAGAGTGTCCTCTACATTTGAAGATTCACTCTGGTTATTTTTTACTGGTTATATTGCAGTAAACATACACAGTTGTTGATATAAGCCCTTTTCTAATAGGCCTAGTGCACAAGGCCAAGTGGACTACTCTGAAACTGTCCTCATACTTTGGCTGAGATAGCATATCAAAAACAGTACATTTTATATTATATTTATATTTACATTTATATTCATATTGTTTAAAAACAAGATATTTTAGGGAGTTTAGCAGAAACTGGTGCCATTTTTAAAACTGAAGGATTTGGCTGGGCACGATGGCTCACGCCTGTAATCCCAGCACTTTGCAATGCTGAGGTGGGCGGATGACAAGGTCAGGAGTTCAAGACCAGCCTGGCCAACATAGTGAAACCCTGTCTCTATTAAAAATACAAAAAATTGGTCGGGCGTGGTGGCAGTCGCCTGTAATTCCAGCTACTTGGGAGGCTGAGGCAGGAGAATCGCTTGAACCTGAGAGGCGGAGGTTGCGGTAAGCCAAGATTGCACTATTGCACTCCAGACTGGACGACAGGACTGAAATTCCATCTCAAAAACAAACAAACAAACAGGGGTAGTGTGGCCTGAAATATCACCATCTAACTCACAAGTCTGGGACTTGCCAAAACCAGATGCATCCTCAAAAATCTTTGTAGACTACTGCAAATTAAAAAAAAGAATAGTAGACCCACTTGCAATCATTTTCCGTATGTGTTACCATTGCTAGAGCTGAAAAAGAGAACATATGATGACTGTAGTGTTTATAGAAAGTCCCAGTGGGAGAATTACAAGATAGCACCCCACTCTGGTATTTGGAGCAAGGTCATAGTCTTTGCCATGGAAGATGATATACCTTTTGAGGAAAAACAAACAAACAAACAAAAAACCGCAGAAAAGTCTACTGGACTGCTGGAAAGCTACTTGGTCCTGATAGAAAATACCTGTTTATTAGCTACTTGGTCCTGATAGAAAATACCTGTTTATGAGATGACCCCATCACAATTGTCCATCATGGGTTGGGTATTTTAGAGGCGCCCTGTCTACATGATAATGTGGGCTCATCCAGGATATAGCAGAAGTGGGAACACAGGTCACAAGCAAGTTGCATGAGAAGTAATCCCAGAAGTTCAGGTCATCATGCACTACGGCTGTACCAGTGCCTCATCCATCATTATACCTATGGCTGTGAGTAGAATCTTTACAAGCAGGGGAAAAAACCTGAAGTTATTTTAGTGTGGCCTTGAAAGAGAGTAATGATGTAAAGTTTTTCTGATGTACAGTGTTTTGCTTGAGCAATTAGCCATCTATAATTTGTAGAAAGAGAAGTCACTCATCATTAGAAAATAAAGTGACACATGGGCAGTGACAGATGTCTTGGATGAGTCAGGGGTCTGGAAGGAAAAAGATTGAAGGATGTAGAACAAGAAATTCTATGCTAGAGATGTATAGATTGATCTATGGAAATGGATATGAAGGGTGAAGATTACTATCAAATATGAACATCCATTATATAGTATACAACAAAGAAGATGACCTAAACAAAAAAATATGCACAATTGCTCAGCTAGCTGACATCAGTCAGCCTCTGTCCTCAGTCAATCCCGTGCTAATATGATAGGCACATGAGCAAAGAGGCCATGATGGCAGAGGTGAAAGTCCCAAGGCTGATTTAGCTACAACCACTGCTGAATGACTAGCCAGCAATGGAGACCAATACTGAGTCCCTGAGAAGGCATCTTTCTTTAAAGAAATAATAACTGATTATATTAGACTCCAATGAATTGAGCCAGTGTTTCATTCTGACAAAGGTAAACACATAATGTGGGTGTATTAATGTGTTCTCACACTGCTTTGAAGAAATACCCGAGAATGGGTAATTTTTAAGGAAAAAAGTTTAATTGACTCACCATTCCACATTGCTGGAGATGCCTCAGGAAACTTACAATCATGGTGGAAGACAAAGGAGAAGCAGGCACCTTCTTCACAGGACAGCAGGACCGAATGAGTGCCAAGCAAAAGTGGAAGCCTCTAATAAAACCATCAAATCTCGTCAAGTATTACCAACAGCATGTACAAAGAGAAAGCACAGCTAAACCAGCTTGGCAAAATGTCCTCAAGATGAGAAAATGTTATACTGAAACTCACATTAAATTTCGAATATTTCTTTTTGTAAGATTTCTAACATGGAAAAAATAGGTAAGTAATATAGCCAGGACTATCGGCTAAAATACCTACTGTTGTTTTGGATGTAATATGAGACAGTTTTTTATTATTTCAGGAGTAAGTGATTTATCAATAAACTTTAGAATATTTACTGAATATTCTTTATAAGAAGGAAATAATTATAAAATGCCTAATTGATATATTTTAAACTTGTCTGTGACTTCTCAGTAGCTTCATTATTGCATTGATTAAAGAAATTTTCTTTAACTTATTATATGAGATATTGTATAACTACTAATTTAATAAGTTAAGATTATAGAGTACAATTGAGACCTTTATATATGTATATAATATTAATTTTCAATAATCATAACATGGGAATCCATGCTTTGATTAAAAACTAATCAGTCAGAAAATATTTTAAAACAATGTATTTGAGTGGTAAAAGTATACACTCTTTGCATGACATTTGTAATCTAAACATTTTTGTAATAATAGAAAACTATCTTAAAGTTTCACTTGACTGTATTCTTAATTATTAAATATTGCCTTTAATCAAGTTGTAATATATAGTAAGTACACTGTAGTTTGTTCAAATTTTGGATCAGTTAAAATACGATATCATTCTTAAGGTTTTAACACAAAGTTTTTTTTTAAATAAAATGCAGCAAATTTTTCAAAGTGATTTATTTGAACTTCTAAGGTAATTTGGTTGAGATACCTAGATGAAAAAATCTATATCTTGAGTGTATATGACTAATGATCATATATTTATCTCATAAATCTGCAGATGAAATTTAGTCATTTACTAAAACTCTGATTTACAGCACATATGAATTCTTCTTTGAAACTAGGAAGTCAAAATTACATTGGGGAGAACCACTGCAAATAAAATATGCTAACCATTGTATATGAAGGTGACATTCCTGACATACCTTGAATTAAAGCACTGAGTTATTTCTGGAAAACAGACAGCTGTGTTTTACATTATCTAGGTATGATCTTTTTTACTCAGTGTATCTATGGGCTACTGTCATTAATATTTAAAATTCTAGTTATTACTTTTGTATATTTCAAAACATTTCATGGATGTAATACACAAAATACTGGGATAATACAAAATAGTAATAGGCGTGAATAAACATAAATGCAACCAAATGCAACTGGTTGCATTTGATTCCAGATCAAATGCATCTGGAAAATGATGCATTACAAAATGTAAATAGGTTTTTAATATAAAATTTAACATATTTTATAACAATTTTAAATATTTAAAACTTGTTGTACTATTTAATTGTCCCCAGAGTATTTGGATATCGATGGAATACTTATTTTCAGAGAGCATCTCTGCTCCTTGTTTTCACATTTTGGGAAATTTTACTTTATGTAAACCTAATTGGTTGATAAAATTAAAGCTTGAAATTTTGACCATACTTTCCATGAAGCTTTAGGAGTCTGACAGAAATATTTTAATTCATTTAAAGTTATCAAATCTACATAAGATGCCTCTGGTTTTAATCACTACTAAACACACATCAGGCATAAAAGATATCATTTAATACTATTTATTTTGGAAAAAAATGAAGTTTAAAATGTGCAGTGCTAGGAAGTATTTTTATTATCACAATTGTGTCTCATGCCACAAATGCTTTAAAGAGGTGTTTTTTTCTTTAAAACACAAAATACTTTAAGACGCTCCTCTCTAAAAATCATTAGGCAATAAATACTATTAGACACCATCGAGTACATACAATTATCAAATGCAATCCTGTGTAACAATAAGAAAAAATTGGTGTAATAATTTTGTTAAAACACGAAATTATAGATGCTAGTTTCTTTTGGTGGTGGATAAGTTTTAAATAGATATCAAGTGTACAATGTTAATTTATCATAATCCTCAGCTCCACAAGGATTATTAGCAGCAAGCAGTGAGAGGGATCTACTCTTTTTTTCTTACAAGCTTTACTCTCTTTTCCAATTCTTATTGCCCTCCCTTATAGGGACTTTGTGTTTTTCATAGACCCATGACTCTGTTTTCCATAAATGACATTTTGTTATATATATATATATATGTATATATCTATATATAAATATATAGATATATAAATATATATAGATATATATAAATATTTAGATATATAAATATATATAGATATATATAAATATTTAGATATATAAATATATATAGATATATATAAATATATAGATATATAAATATATATATAGATATATATAAATATATATAGATATATAGATATATATAAATATATATAAATATATAGATATATAAATATATATAGATATATATAAATATATATATATATATATAAATATATATAGATATATAGATATATATAAATATATATAGATACATATAAATATATATAGATATATAGATATATAAATATATAGATATACATAATATATATAGATATATATAAATATATAGATATGTATACAAATATATATAATATATATAGATATATATAAATATGTATAGATATATATACAAATATATAAACATATATAGATATATATAGATATAAATATATATAGATATATATAAATATATATAGATATATAAATATATAGATATATATAAAT
>NW_021160009.1:0-7309 GCF_000001405.40 Homo sapiens | reverse complement strand
ATATAGATATATAAATATATAGATATATATAAATATATATAGATATATATAAATATATAGATATATATAAATATATATAGATATATATAAATATATAGATATATATAAATATATAGATATATATAGATATATAGATATATAAATATATAGATATATATAGATGTATAGATATATATAGATATATAGATGTATAGATATATATAGATACATAGATATATAGATATATATATCTATATACATATATAGATATATAAATGTATATAGATATATAGATATATATATCTATATACATATATAGATATATAAATGTATATAGATATATATGTATATATAGATATATAAATGTATATAGATATATATGTATATATAGATATATAAATGTATATAGATATATATAAATATATAGATATATAAATATATATAGATATATAGATATATAAATATATATAGATATATAGATATATAAATATATAGATATATAGATATATAAATATATATAGATATATATAAATATATAAATATATATAGATATATATAGCTATATAAATATATATAGATATATATAGCTATACAAATATATATAGATATATATGTACATATATACCTATATAAATATATATAGGTATATATGTACATATAGCTATATAAATATATATAGGTATATATGTACATATAGCTATATAAATATATATAGGTATATATGTACATATAGCTATATAAATATATATAGGTATATATGTACATATAGCTATATAAATATATAAAGGTATATATGTACATATAGCTATATAAATATATATAGGTATATATGTACATATAGCTATATAAATATATAAAGGTATATATGTACATATAGCTATATAAATATATATAGGTATATATGTACATATAGCTATATAAATATATATAGGTATATATGTACATATAGCTATATAAATATATAAAGGTATATATGTACATATAGCTATATAAATATATATAGGTATATATGTACATATAGCTATATAAATATATAGGTATATAAGTACATATAGCTATATAAATATATATAGGTATATATGTACATATAGCTATATAAATATATATAGGTATATATGTACATATAGCTATATAAATATATAGGTATATATGTACATATAGCTATATAAATATATAGGTATATATGTACATATAGCTATATAAATATATAGGTATATATGTACATATAGCTATATAAATATATATAGGTATATATGTACATATAGCTATATAAATATATATACGTATATATGTACATATAGCTATATAAATATATATAGGTATATATGTACATATAGCTATATAAATATATATAGATATATATGTACATATAGCTATATAAATATATATAGGTATATATGTACATATAGCTATATAAATATATAGGTATATATGTACATATAGCTATATAAATATATAGGTATATATGTACATATAGCTATATAAATATATATAGGTATATATGTACATATAGCTATATAAATATATATAGGTATATATGTACATATAGCTATATAAATATATATAGGTATATATGTACATATAGCTATATAAATATATATAGGTATATATGTACATATAGCTATATAAATATATATAGGTATATATGTACATATAGATATATAAATATATATAGGTATATATGTACATATAGATATATAAATATATATAGGTATATATGTACATATAGATATATAAATATATATAAATATATAGATATATATATAGATATGTATAAATATATAGATATATATTGATATATATATCGATATGTATAAATATATATAGATATATATAGATATATATATAGATATATATAGATATAAAGATATATATAGATATATATAAATATATATATAGATATATATAAATACATATAGATATATAGATATATAAATATATGTAGATATATATAAATATATAAATATATATACATATATACAAATATATAAATATATAGATATATAAATATATAAAGCTATATAGATATATAAATATATAAGTATATATAGATATATAAAGATATATAGATATATAAATATATAAAGATATATAGAGATATAAATATATATAAATATATATTGATATATAAAAATATATATAAATATATATAATATATAAATATATATAAATACAGATAATATATAAATATATATAATATATAAATATAAATAAATAGATATAATATATAAATATATTATATAAACATATAATATATATAGATATATGAATATATATAAATATATAAATATATATATAAATATATATAAATATATAAATATATATATAAATATATATAAATATATAAATATATATATAAATATATATAAATATATAAATATATATAAATATATATAAATATATAAATATATATATCTATATATAAATATATATAAATATATATAAATATATATATAAATATATATATTTATATATAAACATATAGATATATATATTTATATGTATAAATATATAAAAAAATATTTATAAATATATAGATATATAAATATATAATATAAATATATAATATATATAAATATATATTATATACACAGATATATAAATATATATAATATATAAATATATATAGATATATATCAATATATATAAATATATATAATATATAAATATATATAGATATATATCAATATATATAAATATATATATTTTTATATATATATAAATATATATACATATATATAAATATATACGTTATATAAATATATATAGATGTATATATTATATAAATATATAGATATATATATTATATAAATATATATAGATATATATAAATATATATAATATATAAATATATAGATATATAAATATATAGATATGTATGAATATATATATAAATATATATAGATATATGTGAATATATATAATATATAAATATATATGTATATATGAATATATAATATATAAATATATATGTATATATGAATATATAATATATAAATATATATTATATATGAATATATAACATATAAATATATATCTATATATGAATATATAACATATAAACATATATCTATATATGAATATATAACATATAAATATATATCTATATATGAATATATATAAATATAAATATATCTATATATGAATATATATAAATATATATCTATGAATATATATAAATATATATCTATATATGAATATATATATAAATATATATCTATATATGAATATATATATAAATATATATCTATATATGAATATATATAAATATATATAAATATATATCTATATATGAATATATATAAATATATATAAATATATATCTATATATGAATATATATAAATATATATAAATATATATCTATATATGAATATATATAAATATATATAAATATATATCTATATATGAATATATATAAATATATATAAATATATATCTATATATGAATATATATAAATATATAAATATATATCTATATATGAATATATATAAATATATAAATATATATCTATATATGAATATATATAAATATATAAATATATATCTATATATGAATATATATAAATACATATATATATGAATATATATAAATACATATATATATGAATATATATAAATACATATATATATGAATATATATAAATATACATAAATATATATATATGAATATATATAAATATACATAAATATATATATGAATATATATAAATATATATAAATATATATCTATATATGAATATATATAAATATATATAAATATATATCTATGAATATATAAATATATATAAATATATATCTATGAATATATATGAATATATATAAATAGATATCTATGAAAATATATAAATATATATGAATAGATAACTATGAAAATATATAAATATATATGAATAGATATCTATGAAAATATATAAATATATATGAATAGATATCTATGAAAATATATAAATATATATGAATAGATATCTATATATGAATATATATGAATAGATATCTATATATGAATATATATGAATAGATATCTATATATGAATATATATGAATAGATATCTATATATGAATATATATGAATAGATTATATATGAATATATATAGACATCTATATATGAATATATATAAATAGATATCTATATATGAATATATATAAGTAGATATAAATATATATATCTATATATGAATAGATATAAATATATATATATCTATATATATATGAATGTATATAAATATAAATATATGAATATATATGAATATATGTAAATATATATCTATATATGAATATATATGGATATATATAAATATATATAAACATATATCTATATATGAATATATAAAAATATATATAAATATATATCTATATATGAATATATATAAATATATATCTATATATGAATATATATAAATATATATATATGAATATAAATATATATCTATATATAAATATAAGTATATATGTATAAATATATATATCTATGTAGATATATATATAAATATATATATCATATATATGGATATATATATCTATATAGATATATATAAATATATATATCCATATGTATATATATGGATATATATATATCTATATATAGATATATATTTATATTATATATAGATATATACCTATATATTGATATATATGTCTATATATAGATATTTATCTATATATAAATATATATTTATATATAGACATACATATCTATATAGAAATATATATTTATATCTATATATCTATCTATATATAGATATATATCTATCTATATATAGATATATATATATAAGTATATATCTATATATAATATAAATATATATCTATATATAAGTATATATCTATATATAATATATATATCTGTATATAAGTATATATATAATATAAATATATATCTATATATAAGTATATATCTATAATATAAATATATATATAAATATATATCTATATATAATGTAAATATATATATAAATATATATCTATATATAATATAAATATATATAAATATATATCTATATATAATATAAATATATATATATAAATATATATCTATATATAATATAAATATATATATAAATATATATCTATATATAGTATAAATATATATATAAATATCTATATATAATATAAATATATATTATATATAAATATATATCTTTATATAAATATATATATAATATATAAATATATATCTTTATATAAATATGTATATATAATATATAAATATATATCTTTATATAAATATATATAAAATATATAAACATATATACATATATATCTATATAAACATATATAGATATATATCTATATATAAACATATATAGATATATATCTATATATAAACATACATAGATATATATCTATATATACATATATAGATATATATCTATATATAAATATATAGATATATATCTATATATAAATACATAGATATATATCTATATATACATATATAGATATATATCTATATATAAATATATAGATATATATCTATATATAAATATATAGATATATATCTATATATAAACTTATATAGATATATATCTATATATAAACTTATATAGATATATATCTATATATAAACTTATATAGATATATATCTATATATAAACATATATATATCTATATATAAACATATATAGATATATATCTATATATAAACATATAGATATATATCTATATATAAACATATATAGATATATATCTATATATAAACATATATAAATATATATAAGTATATATCTATATGGAAACATATATAAATATATATCTATATATTTATATATCTATATATATCTATATATATCAATATATATAAATATATATCTAGATATCTATATATAAATATATATCTAGATATCTATATATAAATATATATCTAGATATCTATATATAAATATATATCTAGATATCTGTATATAAATATATATCTAGATATCTGTATATCTATATATATCTAGATATCTGTATATCTATATATATGAATATATATCTATATATCAATATATCACTATATATAAATATATATCTACATATCAATATATCAATATATGTCTATATATCTATATATCAATATATATAAATATATATCTATGTATCTATATATCAATATATATAAATATGTATCTATATATCTATATATGTATATATCAATATATATGAATATATATCTATATATCTATATATCAATATATATCTATATATCTATATATATAAATATATATCTATATATCTATATATATAAATATATAGATATATATTTCCAGCCAACCATTTGTTTATAAGAACTCTCTGTGTAACTGTAACTACATCTAATGGGTTGTTTCTGACTCTTGCATTGTTTGTCCACAGTATATACAAACTACATTTTGCACCTGCAATCATCTAATGATAGGTACGTAGAGGACCTCAACTATTGAGTATGAAAAGTGGCTATCTACTAATGAAATGTGTTAGAATTACACTAGGAAGTCAGTCCTACAATGTCAGTTCAAATACATTTGTACATTCCTTTCAGGGACCAGCCTATTTTGTCTATAATCTACTTGTTGTTATGCTTAGATAATTTTTCTAACAGGCTTCCGTATATTCATTCTTACAGTCAGTAATTTGCTGAATATTTCAAATATTAACTCCCAGTATAAGATTATCTAGATATAATCTTTAAACTATCCTAAATTGGTTAATTTTGTCTATAGAGTTTTTTGTCAATCAGAATAGTTTAGTTTCACAATAGTTCACTCATTTTTTTATTATTTATGCTTTTTAGATATTGTCTACAAGTTCACTCTTCCATCTTATATTATTTTTCTCTGAAGACATTTCATAGAACACTCCTCAATTTGATATTTTATCATAACTAAAATGAGGTTATTCAAGTTGGCAGGTTTACTGCAGAAATGTGTGGTCTTCTCAGGCAAAAGTTACTGATTTGCTCCATCATGTTTATTTTGATTACCTGGATAATATGATGACCCACTGGGTTTCCTCATTGTACAGTAATTATTATTTTGAATTAATAATTACATTTCGGTAAGACAGTCTGATTGTATAAATAAACTATTATTTCTTATTCTTCATGCAATGAATCATCAAAATTAATTATTTAACATAAGAAAGCTGGAAAAAATATACACTCAAAAAACAAAAGAATAAAAAACATGAAAGAAGAAAGCAAAGCAAATTCAGAAATGAGGTGAAAACTTTAAAAACTTAATTCACTGTATACTTAATATCCACAAATATTGGGCGTGTGCAAGAAAAGAATAGAATTCTATAAAAATACTGTAAGTAAATAAGTTCTTAGAAATTTTATATATCATACACGTGCTTAAAAAATCAGAAAG
>NW_011332697.1:0-86533 GCF_000001405.40 Homo sapiens | reverse complement strand
TATGAGAGAGACCCTTACCTGCACCCCAGCTGCCGGCAGGGCCAGTCATGGCTGTGCACGGAGATGAGGTGGGTGTGTAAGCCCCCCAACGTCAGCAACAGACAGAGGTGCTGCCTGCCACTGTGCTACTTTATCTGGGCAGGGACTGGGGGTGCCATGCCCTCTAAGAATCCAAATTTACATCCTCTTAGCCAGAGCAGAGAAACCTTAGGATTGACTTCTAGAAAAGGGAGTGTGGTCAGGGCCCATGGGCGGGAAATGGGAGGGCTGGCTGACGGCTGACCCCACTCCCCTGGCTGACAGCTCCGGGACCATGCGCAGCACTGGGGGGGTCTGCTGCTTTCCAGCCCCTTCCCCTCAACCAGACCCAATGCTGTCATCAGCACCAATGGCCAGCGCTGCTATTGCTTCCTGCGGTAAAATCCTTCAAAGTAGAGATGTCCTAAGAAGGCAGCTAGCCAGCCCGCCCAGGGTGCCGGATGCTGCGTGGCCTGCTGGCCGACTCCAAGAAAAGCCCTCAGTGGCGCCTGCCCCGCTCTGGGGTCTCCCACCCACCATGGAAGGCAGCAGTGCAGTGCAGGGGCTGACAGCACAGGGCAATTTATCAGAAACCCGCCCAGGGATTTATACGCCAGCAGGCCTTCTGGTTTTTCTTTTTGGATTTTCTATTTTTTTCTTCTTTTTTTTTTTGAGATAGGGTTTTGCTCTGTCACCCAGGCTGGAGTGCAGTGGTACAATCTCAGCTCACTGCAACCTCCGCCTCCCAGGTTCAAGTGATTCTCCTGACTCAGCCTCCCGAGTAGCTGGGATTACAGGCGTGTACCACCACACGTGGCTAATGTTTTGTATTTTTAGTATAGACAGGGTTTCACCATGTTGGTCAGGCTGGTTGTGAACTCCTGACTGCAGGTGATCCACCCGCCTTGGCCTACCAAAGTGCTGGGATTACAGGCGTGAGCCACCACAGTCTGCCTCTATTTTCTTTTATTTAGAGGCAGGGTTTCACTCTGTCATCCAGGCTGGAGTACAGTGTGGCATGATCATAGCTCACTGCAACTTCTAGGCTCAAGCAATCCTCCAGCCTCAGGCCCAAGTAGCTGGGACCACAGGCACTCACTGCTACACACGGCTAAATTTTTTTTTTTTTTTTTTTTTTTTGTAGAGACAGGGTCTTGTTATGTTGCCAGGGTTGGTCTCCAACTCCTGAGCTCAAGTGATCCTTCAGCTTCAGCCTCCCAAAGTGCTAGGATCACAGGCAGGAGCCACCGTGCCCAGCCAAGATTGATTTTCTTACTCTCCAAAGCGTCAGCATTTTGAAGTTTCTTTTATGAAAGTGGGGGCAAGAATCAGGGTGAAAATGAGTGTAAACAAAGCCCATCCTGTGGTCAGCACCCACTGGAGGTGGCCAGCAGAGTGGCCTCAGATGTTCCTGCACCTGGCCCAGGAGCCCAGGACAGAGGTCAAATCTAGGCCCCTTGGTCTGGCTGGATTCATCAGGCAAGATTCGAAAACAAGAAAACCTCTAGAACAAGAAACAATCATGTCTGCAGCAGATACGGCACTGTGGCCCTATGGCCATGGCAATCGTGAGCACCAAGAGAATGAGTTACAGAAATATCTCCAATACAAAGACATGCATCTCCTGGACAGTGGACAGTCGCTGGGACACACACACACACTTCAAGGCTCACACAACCTAACAGCCTTAAATATCTGAAGAAACAGAATCACGACATTAAGTCAGCAGAGGGAGAGGTAGGCTGAAGCAGCAGGAGGCCAATTTTATATCCCACAGATTTTTTTAAAAATGACTCCCCAGCAAGGGGTGGGGAGAAAGCCACTGATTTAGGAGAGTTCTTGGCTCAGCCAACCACTGCGGTTATCTACACGTTTTACAAAGGCACAGAAGTAGAGAGGGGCTGCACTCACGACCCTCCCCAGGGCCCGCACAGCCAGACACGGTGGGTTCTTCCTTTTTCCCTTCTGGCCTTGGTGGAATTCCTACCACGGTGGCCTCTGCCTTTGGGACAATGCCTTCATGCTCATCCCCGGGTCAAGGATGGAGTCTGTTACCATTTTCCAGGGGAAATTCCAAGGACCAGCCCCGCCTCATTACGTTCACCCCACAGGAAGGTGATCTGGAAAGCCTGTAAACACGTACTCTGGGTGGCTGAGTGGTGTCACCAAGCTGCTTTTGTGCAGGGCTGAAGCACAGACAAGAGGGCAGGCAGCTGGCCGGAGGCCTGAAGTGGGGAGAGATCCCCGCAGGCCTGCAGGAGCCAGGGAGAACCTCCAACTGGATCTAAACTGTGGGACAGCCCAGGCGTGCCCCTCTTCACATGGCTCCCAGGCTCCCTCAAAGCCCTTCCCAGGCCCTGCAGGAAGAGAGGGAGGGTGAGGAGAGGCAGGGAGGGCAGAGGTCGCCTGAAAGCCTGGGCTCCGAACTCCTCAGCAGAGCTTTAAAGTGCATTCTTTCCACGAGGAGGTACCCTCGGCCGGGCTTCCTGAGTGCTGGAGAGAGTGCTTGCCCCTGCAGCTCCCTGCAGAGGTAGCCAGAGAAGAGCAAGGACTGAGGCTGGGCCAAACTCTCACTGCAGGCTCAGAATGGCCCCCAGCCCAGCCACACCTCCACCCAGCCCAGATCTGGGTAGATTCTTTGCTGTCTGATCTGAGAGATGCCTAGAAACAGCTCTGAGGGCTGACCACCACAGAGTGCTGCCTGCCAACATTGTTTCCTTCTCCAAACACAAGACGGGACAGACTTTTGAGTGTGGGGGCATCTTTGGTCCGAGAACTGTCCTGGTTTGGGGCTCCCAGCTGAAAGACATCAGACAAGATGACAAGGCTGACAGCAGGACGTGGAGTCTGATCTTTCAGACACTAGAACTTCAGGGTTCTAAGCTCCCACAGGACATGCTTGATCTGTCAACAGCTGCAGCTGGAGCCAAGTGGAGAAGAACGGCAGAAGGGCCACAGCGGTGAGGTGACATCCGAGAAGGCCCTGGGCTGAGTCCCCATGGATCCTGCAATGTCAGGTGGAGCTAAAAGGGGACAGATGAAACATGCCCAGCAGGGCCTCTCAGCCAGAGCAGCCACCGTGCATCACACGCTTCCATTCTGGTCCTGTGTGTTCCACATCCACCGTTTCTGCACACATGTGTCCTGGAGGACCTCTGAAGAAGGCACTTCCCCCTGGCAGCCTGCCATGCATAAGCCTGAATAGAAGCCCAAGTCCATCCACAAGGGCTGGGTGCTGTCAGAGTTGAGGGGAGAAAGAAAGACGCCTTCCAACTGCCCCACGGGCAGACCAGAGAGTGGAGCAGGGCATCAGGCAGAGGCATGCATGTGGACAGGACGTGGCAGGAGGGACAAGGCTGGGCCTCAGGACAGGAGCAGGCCCTGTCACCCTCATCCCATCGATTCCGCTCACCGGCGCCAGGCCCGGCAGGCCACCAGCAGGGCAGGACCAGCACGGCCAGCACTTCCCTTTTGTGTGGGCTGCCCCGAGGGCAGAGGAGGTTGGTGACTGAGGTCACTGAGTGAGAGAGTTCACAGCAAGGGGTTCCCAAAGGCGGGCTATTGCTGTCAGCAGGCCCCAAACCTGCTTCAGACCTGAGCATGGCCTCCCGATGCCACGGTGGGCCGGCAGAGTTGGAGAGAGGCCCCGAGGCTGAGCGTCAGGAAGGGCTGGGGGGCGCAGCCTACTCTCCATGGGCAGGGAAGGGTCTCCTGGCATCTCATGCGGCCACATGCCAGCTAAGCAGCTAGGACTCTCCCAATCTCTTGCCAATCCTGGTGACAGCCTTGGACGCCTGCTCTGGCAGCTGTGCCGGGTCTGTGAGGATGGAGGTGGAGGTGCTCAGCTGCCGCAGCGTGCTCAATACCACTGCAAGACAGAAAGGGTCAGACACAGGCAGTGACACAGACCCACCACACACCGCACACTCGGCTTTGTACCTACAACCCATGTGGGAATGCTCAGGCACGGGGCGAGCAGCAGCCATGCTGGACTGCAGGGAGGAGTGCCAGGGGCCGACACCGAGACCTGGGCACTCACCCCTCTGCCTCCAGAAGCCTCCCCAAATCCAGGAGCTGCCGTAGGTGGAGCATCCTATGCTGTTCCTGGTGCCATGGGGCTGCCAGCTGTTCTGATATTAAGCTTCTATAACCTTAACATATGGGATAATCTTTGCTTGTTGTTATAAGAATTAAACAAGAAAACACACCTGAAGGCACCTGATACAGGGCCTGGCAAATAGTTGGCACTAGATCCATGCAAGCTGGGTCTGAACAAGCTGGGAGACACAAAAGGGCAGGAGCCTCCTGCCCCCACTGGGCGCTCCTGACTGAGGACCTCCTGGACAGCACTGTGCCCCTGCCCCGGCCCCACCTGGCTGCCTGCAGTGGAGTCTGGCTAATACTGTCCTCAGCCTGGGGCTGTCCTCCCTCCAGGACTAGCATGAAGCCCCCCACCCTGGCACTGCCCCACTCACTCGGCCTGAGGATGGGCAGGGAGCAGTGCTGGTCCAGCCAGGAGAGCGCCGTCCGGTGCAGCTCCTCCAGGCTGCTGGTGGACACCATGCCCTTGAACGACTCAAACAGCGGCTTGATGATGATGCTGAACTGCAGTGTGTGGTTAAAGAAAAGGCAAGCACGGAGAGGGGCTGGGGACTGCAGACCCGAAGGTGGTTGGACTGGCGTACTCCTTTCCCCTGGGGCTGGAAAGTATCTGCCCACAGAGAATGGATCACTGGGGAAAAGAGGGAGAGATCTCTAGGCAAGGTGTGTCTTCCACTTCATGAAAACACTCTGCTCTAACTGTACCTGGACAACAGGGCCGCTCAAGCACCGAGCAGGCAGGGGACAGGGACACAGAAGGTCTCTAGTCTGGAACAGGTCCTAGCACAAACATGCGATCAAAATCGTTCTTACATACAGTGCCAGGAACATCAAAGGCACAGAGCAGGTGGAAAGGCAGAAGCCAGCCGGGCGCGGTGGCTCACGTCTATAATCCCAGCACTTTGGGGGGCTGAGGTGGGTGAATCACTTGAGGTCAGGAGTTTGAGACCAGCCTGGCCAACATGGTGAAACCCCATCTCTACTAATACAAAAATTAGCTGGGCGTGGTGGTGGGTGCCTATAATCCCAGCTACTTGGGAGGCTGAGGCAGGAGAATCGCTTGAACCCGGGAGGCGGAGGCTGCAGTGAGCCGAGATTGCACCACTGCACTCCAGCCTGGGTGACAGAGCAAGACTCTGTTCTCAAAATAAATAAATAAATAAATAAAGGCAGGAGCCATCTGCCTGAAAGTGGCGTTTGCCTTCTGTGTTAAATGCAAAAGTGCATGCCAGTCTCCTAGACCATCTTAGTGAAGGCCTGAGGCATGTTTCCCCTCGGACTTTGATCAGGACGGCACTCACAGTTCCTCCACCTCGGCCTGATGATGGGGAGTATGCCATTTCATCAAAGAAGCTCTGATTCATTCCAGACGCCACCCAGCTCTATTAATGACAGGGATCAGGACCAGGGCAGGCAGTAAAACAGCAACACAGAGGAATCAGAGCTGGTGCCTGTCATCTCTTCAATTAAAAACTGCCTCTTATGGCCGGGCACGGTGGCTCACGCCTGTAATCCCAGCACTTTGGGAGGCCAAGGCAGGGGGATCACCTGAGGTCAGGAGTTTGGGGCCAGCCTGGCCAAAATGGTGAAACCCCATCTCCATTAAAAATACAAAAATTAGCCGGGCGTGGTGGCATGAGCCTGTAGTTCCAGCCACTCAGGAGGCTGAGGCAGGAGGAACACTTGAGTCTGGGAAGGTGGAGGCTGCAGTGAACTGTGATTGTACCACTGCACTCCAGCCTGGGTGACAGAGTGAGACCCTGTCTCAGGGGGAAAAAAGAAACAAACAAAAACACTCTGTCCCTTCCAGCACACACAGGTGCTGCGCCCTGCCCTGCCCGATAGCTGCAGCTGGGATTCTCTCCTCCTGCACGACCGTCACCTCTGACTGTCAGACCCTTGCCCCAATGCCACGGTCAACCCAACACATGTGCCGACCGTTTACTCAGAGGCAGAGCGGTGGCAGGGTGGGGAGTGACCAGGCGGGAACCACTCCCCGTGAGAGCCGTGCTGCCACCTGGAAGGCTGAGTGCAAGGTGGCCTTGGCACGAGAGCCCCTAGAGGTGGACATGCTCCATTAGGCTTCAAATTGGGCTCTACCACTCAGTGGAGGGAGTCCTGGTTTCCGCCTGTCACAGCAGGGGTGGCACTCACCCTCCCTGTGGCTTCGAGGACCGAGCTGGCTGCCAGGCTGTGTGGAACCATGCCTCCTTCCCCTGCACCTTCTGCAAGTGGCTCTAGCATTGTCCTGATTTCTTAAGGACCTAGAGAGCGAAGCCCACCGTTCTACCTCCCTAGCCCTTCCTGCAAAGCACCCTGAAGCCCCATCAGCACCTCCAGCCCACACAGCAGGCCAGGCCGGACCACTCTCTCCCGAGATAGACACTAGCACTGCCTGTCGTGAGGAGCTTGGTGACAGGCATTTAAAGAGTCTTTCTAAAGTAACTACAGTGCCACGGTCTGTGGCTTCAGTGCATTGGCTGAGGGCCGGGAAGAGCAAAAAGAAAACCCAAAGATACAATCCAGAACTTCCAATTCTGCAAGGTCCGGGTTTTCACGTATTCGTCAAACATGTCTTTCATGTGATCAAACTGGCGCCGGGTAACGGGGACTCCCGTGGCAGGGAGCAGCTGCTGGCAGGAGCTGAAATGACAGGAGCCGTGGGAGCTGTGGAGCAGCCAGTGGCCAATAAGGACCCTGGGACAAAAGATGGCAGGGCTGGCCCAGTGCCGGGCCACAGCCAGGCACAGAGAAGAGAGGTCTGTGGAAGGAGGTTGACAAAGAGCAGAACTACTGCAGCAAAGAGGCACTGACCAGTGATGAGGCCACAGGGTCCCACCACCTCTGAGGCAGGCCCTGCATCGGGATGGGGTGCCTGGTTGGAGCCCCAAGGCCCAGAAGCTCACATGATGGTGGCATTGAGCTCCTCGATCTCCTCCCGCAGCCGCCGGGCCTCCTCCTGCATCTGGCCTCTCTCCTGCTGCAGCTTGGTGATGTACTCCACAGTCTTCTGCAGTGTGATGGCGTGACTGGTCTGCAGAAGGGGCAGGTGGCTGGAGGCAGCACCCACAGCCAGCAGGCCTGCCACCAGCAATGACCACGCAGGGAGCACGTCCTGCCAGCTCCCCTGCCCTGCCACAGCCCACGCTCTTGGCAACTCACCAGCTTGGAATTGTTGGAGATGAGGCTGTTGAGCATGTCGAAGCACATCTTGATGTTGAAGCGCCTTTTCTGCTCAGCTGAGATGTGCTTCATCTGCCGGTTCTGCTGGAGAACCCGCTGGTCACTAAGACAGGCACATTGCAGGCACACTGTCCACCCTTCCTCACCCCCTACGCTGATCCTGGGTGCCCAAGGGCCAGGGCTAGAGAGCTACGTGGGAGGAGGGCACGACGAGAAGCTGAAGGCTCCAATGAGGAGCCGGAGGGACAAGACTGGGAACCACAGAAAACCCGCTCTGCAGAATGGTGCACAGCTGGGGCTGGGAACGGCAGGGCTGAACCGGTGCATCCCAGGTGCTGCAAGCTCCGCCTTCCCCACCCAGCCCTGCCTCCTCCCCACAGCACAGCTCTGGTGGTGGCCACACCCCTCCTGCAACTGATGCGGGCAGCCTGAGCAGTACCTGCACACTACGTGGACTCAGCGTTGGCTCCCAGGCTTGGGGCTCACCCAAAAGCCTCCAGGGGGCCCACCATCCCCACAGGGCTGGTTCGTGGCATGGGGCAAGGAGAAGCCCATTTCTGATCCACCCCTGCCTGGGCAGCTCTGGCTGGGTCTGAGGTCTCCGTTCCAGACAAGACACAGATCCTTGATGTCCTGCACTCCTCTCCCCTCCTCCCAAGGGAACCAAGAGGAGACATGCGGTACCTTTAGTGCAGCCACATTTTTGGGGTCGGATTTCCCTGAGCAGTTGTTCTGGGGAGATTGAGGACTGGGGCTCTGCTCCGATGCACACGGAGAGGCCTGCCCTGAGTTTGGGCAGTCCCGACCTGGTAAGAACAGACTCCTCTGAGGGGCGGAGGCCTGGCCCCTCAACGCCACCAGGAGGCAGCCTGGGGTCTCTGCAGGGTTATGAGGTGCTCGCTGCTAGCCACGTATTGCACTTGGTTCTTTCAACTGCACACACATGCTTCCTTAGATTATTCTTATTCACTCCCTGAAAATCTTAAATTAATAACAACAACAAAAACACCCTTAATCCACACAGAACACGATGGAGCAACCCTGTGTGACGTGTTCCAGTCACTGGTGTCGCTTTACGAGATATTTCGCAGGTGGGCTCTTTATTATTATTATATTTTTTAATTAAAAAACATTTTTTATAGAGCCAAGGTCTCACTATATTGTCTAGGCTGGTCTCAATCTCCTGGGCTCAAGCGATCCACCTGCCTCTGCCTCCCAAAGTGCTAGGATTAGAGGAGTGAGTGACCGTGCTCAGTCCCAGGTGGACTCGGCCTTCTCGGCCCATTCTGCTTTACTGTAACAAATGCCTCCGCTTCCTTTCCTCTCTGCTGGATTATTTTCCCCAAACTCCCCGTGAGGCTGTGCAGCAGGCTCTAAGTTCTGTGTTCTGAGACTCCGGAGACCAAGGCAATGGTTGGCCCTAACCTCTCCCTCGATTATTTGAGGGGCCTGACTCCCAACTCTCTTGTTTCTATCTTTCCAGACTGAAGAGTCCTTACTCTCCAAAGCCTGTCCTTGGAAAAGGCCCCTGCTGGCTGAGCCCACTAAGTCAGAGACCCTCCCTCATTCGCGTCTTCCTGAGGGAAGAGGGAGACAACTGTTTGCTCAGAGTTCCAGGAGCAGCTACACCATGCCTTTGTTTGTTTGAGATTGAGTCTCGCTCTGTCACCCAGGCTGGAGTGCAGTGACTCGATCTCAGCTCACTTCAACCTCCACCTCCTGGATTCAAGTGATTCTCCCATCTCGGTCTCCTGAGTAGCTGGGACTACAGGTGCATGCCACTAAGCCCTGCTTTTTTTTTTTTTTTTTTTTTTTGCATTTTTTGATAGGGACAAGGTTTCACCATGTTGGCTGGGCTGGTCTCGAACTCCTGACCTCAAGTGATCCACCTGCCTTAGCCTCCCAAAGTGCTGGGCGTACAGGCATGAGCCACTGCGCCTGGCCTACACCATGCATTTATTTAAGAAAAGAGGCCATTTCCATTTCCCTTCCTGGTATGGCAGGCATTTGAGGGAAGGGGCCCCATCTGCCCACACCCTCTACCAGCAGCACAGCCTCGGGCACACCATTTGTCCCTGATCTGGCCTGTTGGCTCCTCAGATGTCCCTGGGCAAAATCAGTCCTGCTCTGACTATCTTGCCCCTGGATGGCCTAAGAGTGGACATGGGCCACAGACCTGTAGTGCTGAGACCTGCTGGGGAAGGCCACGTTGGTGCCCAGATGAGGCTGGACGGCTTCTGTGGCCACAGCAACCCCAGGCTGATGCTCCCAGAGACAGGAAGCCCAGGGCTCCTCAATCCCTTCTCTGGGTGAGATCAGCAGCTCAGTACCAGGCCTTCGTGGGCAGTCAGCAGGGACTCCCCGAGCACACGGGTCACCTACACTGCCACATGTTCACTACTTTTTGCCCTGCCAGTGCCACCACATTTCATCCTGCCACCCACAGAGCGTGTTCCCAGACTGTGTTATCAGCAGGCCTACAAGACCTCACTGTGTGTCCTAAGCCCAGGCTCCGTCCTGGGGACCCAGCAAGCACCCCCCATGGTCTACGGCAGGCCCAGTTACTTCCCTTGCGATGCCCCAACCATCCCGCCGAGTGAACACTCACTGGGCCCTGTGACAGTGACCTGGGGGCTGCCCCCATGCAGCGGGACCTGCTCGCCCTTCCCCAGGGGGTCTTGCGCTGTGCTTGGGAAGAGCCGGGAGACGGGGGCAGGCGGGCTGCTCGTGCCATGGCCGAGATCTGTCACCAGGATGCTGCTGTGGAACTCCGGGACCCCAGGAGCCTGCAGTGACATGGGAGACAGGTCACCCCTGACTGCTGATATACAGCAGGGCGGCACACCAGTCGTCTCAGGTGAGGGCCGCCCAAGATCAGAGTGCTCCGGGGTGAGAAGGACACTGCAGGTCTGCCTAGGGCCCTCCTCACCCTGGCGATGGCAGCAGGCGCAATGACCACGTTGGACTGGGACACGGTGGAGGCCAACATCCCTTCTCTCTTCAGAGGCCCTGACGTCATGATCACCGCTTGTGGTTGGCCTGAAAAGGCAGCTGCCAGGATAAGGAGGATGTTCAGGTGCAGCCCTGGGCCACAGGGCCTGGCCCACCCTGCAGAGGCTGCCTCTCTGCCAGTGAGACAGCTTGTTCTCAACCCCAGGGGACAGGAAGACAAAGCCACCAAGGCACCTAAAACCATTTGTGTGACTTCTTGAAGGAGACATGTTATAGACCCAGGAAAGAGATGGCCAGGACCATGTTTTCACACTGTAGGTTGTGACTAACTTTAAAAAAAAGATAGAGAGGCTGGGTGCAATGGCTCACATCTGTAATCCCAGCACCTTGGGAGGCCGAGGCAGGTGGATCACCAGAGGTCAGGAGTTCGAGACCAGCCTGGCCAATGTGGTGAAACCCCATCTCTACTGAAGATACAAAATTAGCCAGGTGTGGTGGCACATGCCTGTAATCTCAGCTACTCAGGAGGATGAGGCAGGAGAATCACTTGAACCCGGGAGGCAGAGGTTGCAGTGAGCCAAGATCATGTCATCTCACTCCAGCCTGGGCAATAACAGTGAAACTCCGTCTCAAAAAAAAAAAAAAGAGAATAGAGACTGGGTGTGGGGGCTCACACCTGTAATCCCAGCACTTTGGGAGGCCAAGGTGGGCAGATCGCCTGAGATCAGGAGTTCGAGACCAGCCTGGCCAACATGGTGAAACCCCATCTCTACTAAAAATACAAAAAATTAGCTGGGTGTAGTGATGGGCGCCTGTAATCCCAGCTAACTCGGGAGGCTGAGGCAGGAGAATCACTTGAACCCAGGAGGCGGAGGTTGCAGTGAGCCGAGATCACACCACTGCACTCCAGCTAGGCGACAGAGTGAGACTCCATCTCAAAAAACAAACAAACAAACAAAAATTAGCCGAGTATAGTGGCGCACACCTGTAATCCCAACTACTCGGGAGGCTGACGAAGGAGAATCGCTTGAACCCGGGAGGGGGCGGTTGCAGTGAGCCGAGATTATGCCACTGCACTCCAGCCTGGGCAACAGAGACTGTCTCAAAAAAAAAAAAACCAAACAAAAAAACAAAAAAGATAGAGCATAGAAAACGGACTAGATCATGGCCATGTATTATTTCATGACACTTTTGTTTCATTTAAGTGTATGTGTGTGCGCATGCACGTGCACACCAGGGTGGTGGTGGTGGTCACAAGTTTGAAAGCCTTTGGGATGGGAAAACATCCCTCTGGGTCGGGGGGAGCCCCGCACTGAGTCTCCCCGCCTGGCTCACCTGGGGCGATACGGGCATTCTTCAACACCAAGGACACGGGCTCTGGTTTGGGAGCAGGCACTATTTTGTGGGGCTGCTTAGGCCTGCCCCCAGTCAAGGATACAGGTTTGGGGTGCACAAAAGTTAACCGTGGCTGGGGAGGCCGGGTGACAGGAGACAGTGCCAGCCCACAAGGGGCCGCTGACGGGGCAGGGTGATGGGTGGTGATCACAAGGCCCTGACTCTGGCTAAAGGTGGTGGCGGGGGCATCGTGGGTGAGGGTGGCAGAGGCCGTGTGGGTGATGACAGACGGCGCTTTGTTGACTCCAGCAAACTTCTGTGGCTGATGGAAGGTGGGTGGAGCCGGGGGGTTCAGGGCAGTGGCAGGAGGAGGAACTAATGGTAACACGGGGGAGATGGGCGGTGGGGCGGGGCTGGGAGACAGCAGGGGCATGGTGAAGACAGGGAGGAAGGGCTGCGGGACACTCAGTGGCGGCTCTGAGGGACCGAAGTCCGTGGGCTGGATAAACGGGTCCTCAGTCCGGGAGGTGTGTTCACAGCCCTGCTCATCCATGTGAGCCAGGGATGGGGCGGTAGGGGGCGCGATGAGGCTGTCAGGAAGGCTCACAGTGGGGAGGGCTGTGGTCGGCAGGATGCTCTCCTGAAAAAGGAAGAAAGGAGCCAGGAAGCAATGCTGGGGTCAGACAATTCCTTTCTAGCGCTGCACACTGCCAAGTCCAACTACACAGGCCGGGCGCTGGGACAGAGGGACAAAGGCCACGTCTCCACGTCCATGGCTGCTGATCTGATAGGGATTTGTGTTTCCCTGCGTGTCTGCGGGGGTCTTGTTTCCATTAAAAACTAAATAACTCAGAGCTCAGATAAGGCAACGGCCCTCACACAGCTGGCTAGCAGCCTGGGAATATCTTGTTTCTGGAGTCCAGCAGAGTCTCCCCAAAGTCTCTGCCATCTTCTATTACTGAGCAGAGGCAGCCTGGATTGCAGCTGCTCGGGAATCCCCGAGGACAATTTCACGTGTCAACTGGTCATCAGGCCACCTCTTCCTAAATAAGAAAAGCTACGAGGAATCAATGGTTCAGATCCCAGTCTCTGCAGTAGCAATTCTTCCCGGAGCCCGTTTGAAGATGGTGCCAGGTTACCAGTGTCTAACTGGTCATGGGCATAAGCATGAGGGCTCCGTAAGGACAAAGAATGGTACCTCACTCAGCTCTGTAGCCCCAAGCACCTGTAAGCAACTTTTTGGATTGCTTAGTAAAACGTGAAAGAAATATACAGAAGTTATTTTTATTAGTAATCCATGTTTTTCTTCTCTGTCTAGCTAATTCTGTGTTAATTAGTCGGAGCAGAGCTAGCTGCACATAGGTTACCTGGCACTCAGGCAGAAGCACACCTGGACCAAGAGTCTCCCACCCCATGGGTGCTGAAGGATGCTGTAAAAGAGGGATGGAATCGTGCCTCTGCACATTAGTGCTGGTCTAGCACTGCTTGGCGCTTTGCTGGTGACTGTGTGGCTATGCCATTAGCCTTGCTCTGGCAGCAAACCTTTGATGAGCAGCCCTGTGCCTGCCAGCCCCTTCCCCCACCCATCCCCCAGCTTCCTCTACCTGTGCAGGTGGGTTGTTGGGATCTGGTACAGGTGCTGAGGCAGATGCAGGTAGCATGGAGCCAAAAATGGAGCGGCTAGAAGAGAAGAGGTCTGAAAAACAACAGCAGGGGTCTTCTGAGCTCAGTGTGCCCAGCATTTGCTGGAATCAAGACTCAAACAGGGCCAGGCACGGTGGCTCATGCCTGTAATCCCAGCACTTTGGGAGGCCGAGGTAGGCAGATCATGAGGTCAAGAGATCAAGACCATCCTGGCTAACATGGTGAAACTCCATCTCTACTAAAAATACAAAAATTAGCTGGGTGTAGTGGCACATGCCTGTAGTCCCAGCTACTCAGGAGGCTGAGGCAGGAGAATGGCTTGAACCCAGGAGGCAGGGGTTGCAGTGAGCTAAGATCGCACCACTGCACTCCAGCCTGATGACAGAGCGAGATTCCCGTCTCAAAAAAAAAAAAAAAAAAAAAAAAAAAAAGGTGCCAACCACAACCACCATGCCTGGTTGGTGCCACCAGTGGTCCCAACTACACAGGAGGCTGAAGCGGAAGGATCGCTTAAGTCCAGGAGGGAGGTTGAGGGTGCAGTGAGCCGTGTTCTTGCCACTGCACTCCAGCGTGGGCTACAGAGCAAGGCTCTGTCTCAAAATAACAAAGACTAAAACAGGCTGGGTGTGATGGCTTACACCTGTAATCCCAGCACTTTGGGAAGCAGAGGCAGGAGGATCACCTGGGCAACATAGCAGACCCCCGTCTTTACAAAAAAATGAAGAAATGAACTGGGTGTGGTGGTGTGTGCCTGTAGTCCCAGGTACTCAGGAGGCTGAGGTGGGAGGATCGCTTGAGCCCAGGAGTTCAGGGCTGCAGTGAACCATGATTGAACCACTGCACTCTAGCCTGGGTGACAGTGCAAGACCCTGTCTCTAAAAAAAAAAAAAAAAAAAAAAAAAGACTCAAACAAATCAAGGACTAAACCCCTAAACCCCACATGGCCCAGGGGGATGCCATGGACAGAGGGTATTACCCTGAGACACCTTTTTTTCTGTAGAAAGGGGGCTCTGGTTGGAACCACACATGTTGGCAACTATCCTGGGCTCTGAAACACTCCCAGGCCTGACGTTTCTGCTGCTGTCACAATGGCAGGTGCTCAAGGACCCATCTAACTGCAGGGCCTTGGTAGGGAGCTGGCTGTGTCATCAGTGCCCTCTGCTGCTTCGAGGGAGAACTGCTTACAGTCACGGCTAAATCCAGAGCCAATTTCCTTGCTGAACAATGTCCCAGAAAAACTTCCCAGACCTTGCAGTTACTACAAAAAACAGTTCAGTTTAAAAAAAAATTCTTTGCTCGCCCCCTTGCCCATTCTACCAAGTCTCGCCTCTTAAAGGAAGGCAGCGATCTGCTCTGTGCTGGGCTGGGGGAGATGGAGGCAACCGTGCTCTCTCTGCCTCTGGTCCTCACCCTGGAAAGGCTCAAAGGTGTCCATGAAGTCCAGGTTAGGCTGCAAAGGAATCAGTCCCGGCTGGATCATGTCTGCATTTCCCAGATGTGCTGCAAGAATCACAGAGAGAGGAACCATTTTGTCTTCTCAGACAATGTTGCAGGAACGTAAAAAAGGCCTGGAACAGAACTTCCTGGCCCTGCTCACATCCCAGAGTCTTCCAAGGAGCTGGCTGGGATTTCTACCTTCTCAGGGTTTGTGGCCATTCCGCACCCTCAAAAGGCAGGAAAGTAAGTTTTTGCCAGGAAGGTAAAATTGAGTATCAGGGAATGGACACCCCAGGAAGCTGTAAAGAGCTCAAGAGAGAACAGAGACCTCCCCGAACACTGTTCTAATTTTCAATCTTTGGGCTCTTCCCTGAGAGGTTAACTGGAAGACTGAATGCCACCAAGGTGAGCGGTCACACCCGGGAGTGCTTCTGATTTTCTTTAGCATGAGTCACGGCCCGGCCGCCTCGGCTTAGGCACGGCACACGTACCCCGTGAAGAGAACGGTATCTGAAATGTGCCAATGACTCAGACTAGACCCTGCTGCTGTCCTCCCACCATGGCACTACGGGAATGGCAGCTGCCCAGTGGGCCCACTCTGCAGACCCCACCCACTCGGTACGTGCGGCCTGGATGTCAAATGAGGCCAGCCATCCTTCCCTTCCTTACTGCCTGCCCCCAACCGTGACGTGCAGCAGCTCAGAGATGGCCCTGAAGGAACCCTGGCCCAGAGGGGGCCTGGCAGAGAAGGAAGCGGCTGGCTGTTCAAAGCCCAAGGCCCTGGTTTGGGTTACCTATTTCCCGGGGATTGGGCCAGGCCACCGGCTGGTGTGAAGAAAGTGTGGAGAAGAGGGTGTCGCTGAATTCCGACATGAGCATGTCTGTGTCCAGCAGGGGATCCTCCTCCATGGGGACGGGGGTCTTCCATCCATCCCCGTGCTTGTGCCAATACAGCATGTCATCGTCCTAACACAACACCAACACAGGGGAGGAAGCATCAAAGAGTAACAGTGGGACGAAGAATTCCCACGCCTGTCACCTGGGGAAATTCGTCAAAGGGGTGCTCAGTGGAAGTGAGGCAGCAGGGTGGAGGCATTTGGAGAGCGGCTCCCTCCAGCCCACCCAGGAGAGAGAGCTGGACTGCTTCTTGAGCCATTCCTGAGACTCCAGGGAGGGCCCATGGCCTGCCGCCTTTTGCAGGGCTCCCTGGTGGGCCACCGAAGTCCCTGCTGTCTCATGTCAAAGTGGGGGTCCTCAGAGCTCCCAGGCTCACCCACCTGGACCAGGCTGGAGAGGTCCTCATCCTTGTGCTGCTGTAGCTGTGGGCAAAGGGACAGGACACGGCGGTCACCAATGGCCCTAGGAGGGCCCAAGGGCTCTAGAATATACAGAACTCTCAGGGAGGCAGGTAGGGGTCCTGCTCACACCATCCCCAGGCCGATGCCTGCACAAAGGAGACTTCCACCCAGTGCACAGATGGGGAAACTGAGAGCAAAGACAACCTGACCGAGGCAGGCCATTGCCCAGGCTAGTCTGGCACGCTGGGCCCCAGATTTACTGCTTGACGCTCCACGTTCAGGTGGGGCGGCTGTGGAGCCTACCGCCTCGGCCAGGGCCCTGAACCAGGGACTCTGCCCACTCCCTCCCTAGGCGGGCTGCCTGAACACTCCAGCCAGATACCCTTTTCTTGAAGTAGGTTCTCCACTTGTGATACTCCCGGATCACAATCTCGATGCGGCTCTTCCAGTACTTCCCTTCCGTGGTGATGGCCTAGGACAGGGACAGAGAGCAGAGTGAAGAGGGGGCTCTGCTTGATTAGCAAAGCTCAACTGGTGTACTGAGTATCCGGCACTATAATCAGGCCTTAGGCAATCCAGCGGGAAACCCCACAGTGGCTACCACATCACTCAGAAAGTACGTCCCACTTCTTCCATGCTATAGCAGACCCTCTAGCTAACAATGCGCTGTCATTTCAAGACCTAAGGTAGCCAAAGGCCTTGGGGGCACGGTCCTGAGGCTCTGTCCAGGAGGACAGGGTGAGAGCAGAATGCTCCACAGAGGAAGAAGCAGGGGAACGCTGCAGCAATTCCCAAGCCCCCCCATAAATGCCCCTTCCCCACAGCCTCTGCCACATTCAAAGGGCAAAAATGAACAGCCAATTCCAGGAAGTTTCAGGTGGAATGTGCCCTCCAGGGGCCTCTCATCCAACCTTCGCGTGATGCCAGTGTGGATGCCTTGCATGACAGCCTTCGAGCTCCAGAGATAAGGAGCCCCAATGCCTGGGGTTGCCTCACTTTCTGATCTCAAGGCCCAAATCACCTCACCTACAAACACTGTGTGTGTGTCCTCGACAGCAAAGATGCTTTTCTGTTAAAAAGAACTGATTACAATATTGCCATACCCAACAAAATGATATCCCTTGATACTGTCTAATACCAGATTATACCTGTCTCAAAACTGTCTTTCATTAGCTTACCTTCTAAATTCCCCCTTTATCGTTAACAGTGAGACATGCCTAGACAAAATTAAAGCCACACAGAAGAGTATGCAGTGAAGAAAGCATCTCCCCCTCATCTGGCAGCCCTAATCCTACTCCCCAGAGGTTCCTGAAGTCTCTTAATAAAGACACTTCTATATATTCCTCTAGACACTTCCTGTGCATGTATAATCACACATAGACACACACTTTAAAAATTAACAGAAAGATATTAACCCCCTCAGTCCCTGGGCCAGTCCCTCTGAGAAGGGGGAGGCTCTGCAGCCTGGGGTTGCCAGAGGCCACCAGCTCCCAGGCCTGGCCCCCAGGGCATGGATGGCGCAGGGCAGGCGCTGCACTACCCTCGGCAGCCTCTCCTACAGGACCAGCCCGCGGTGAGCCACTCCCGGTGAGGTGCTGGTATGTTTCCACTCTCAGCCACCCTTGGTCACTGCCAAGTACCTCCGGCCGGCGGTGCTCGTCTACGTCCACAGAGCCGTCCAGGGGTGTCACAAAGTGGCACACAGGATTCTTGCGCTTCTCCAGATCTGAGCAGAGAGAGGGTGAGAGTCAGCACCATGATCCAGACCCCTGAGGGAGCCCCAGCCTGTCTGCTGCACCCCTCCCCTAGGGCAGACCACATTCCCAGGTACCCTTTCCTTCTCCTTCCCTAGGAAAAGGAGATTTCAGGGAAATAAAGGAGTCCAGGTGAAAGGAGAGGAATCTGTCAATAACGAACGCCTCAGTCAGAGAGGCAGTGTGGCTTCTCAGAGAAAGACCAGCCCAACACAAGCCTGCCCTAGCACACTCATCTCCCGGAGAAGCTACCGGATCCATGACACTCGGGCTGGAGAGAGAAGGCCCATGCCTGAGTCTTCCTAGACCTGCTCCCTGACTCTTCAGATGCCACCCCTCTGCTGGGCCTGATGGCTTGGGTTTCCTGTCTGCACAGACTGAACTTCTGTTAGAAACACCAGGTCCCAGGAGCAGACTCTGGTCCCTGGGTGCCCAGGCCTCCAGGCCGTGAAGTTCTGACCACCACCGGCGCCCAGGCTGGGCGGCACTTACACTGCATGTACCAGGCCCGCCAGATGGCATTATTGAGCCGGATCTTGTCTCTCCACTGTAGCTTCAGGCCCTTGAAATTCTTCCACTTTGGAGACACCAACTTCCCACTGAAAGGCAAGGCAAAGCGGGGAGACTCAGTGGTTACTCTGAAATTGAAGTGAAATTACAAAGTGCCACCCGATCATTCCAGGACCAAACTCTTGACTGATCCACCCCCAGCCATACACCCGGCTTCATGGAATTCAGGTCACTGGGGGATTTCTTCAGAGCCACACAGGGCAGGGCATGGTGGGGATACTGTCAGGGCGCGGAGGGCAGGACTGGCCGTGGGGGTTTTGCAGCCTTGGAGCCACCCACCAATATCTGTTGAAGGGACTTTAACCCAAACACCTCTGCAGAGGGCTGCTGGGAGGATTCCATGAACCAGACTAACAAACTGAACACTGGGCATGCAGTGAGTGCCCTCCAGGAGGAGCAAAGGTTACATTTGGGCTGTTCATTGTTATTCACATTTGACCAGCCTCCCTTCCTGGATTCAAAGTCATTCTTGTTTCCAGAGAGGGGCAGACCAAGGGCAGTCATGGGTCACACAGCAACTGGTGTGTGCGGTGGCAGCATGTGGGGTTCACTACATTCTTCCGTCTACTTTGGCATATCCTACAAATTTTCCATAACTAAAAATTAGAAGAAATCTGTTGACCACAGAGTGCAAACCAGGCTCCTGTGACCTGGTCGTGGCCTGCCTGCTTTGCCACCAGCCCCCACGAGGCATTCACAATCCAAGTACCCGAGCATCCCACTGGCCTGAGTGCCTGCAGGGCAGGGCCTATTCTGCCTCCCAGAGCCTCTGACATGGTCCTCACTCTTGATGGCCCTCCACTCAGCCACCTCCTAATCCTTCAAGATGCTGCCCCCGACACCATCTCCTCTGAGCTGGCCTGGCCTCTCCCAGGCTGCTGCTGATTCCTTCAGGGCCCCTCTGCTCTCCTCCACTCGGGGACGGTCTCACGGGAGCTCTTATGTAGTAGTGTCTGCACACAAGCACCTTTCCCTGTTGACACTGCAGCTCCTCTAGGGAGGACGTTTGGTGGCTTGGCACATAGTAGGGGCTCAATTAACAATTCTTCATTCAATAAGTCCAGAGCACTTGTAAACCCAGCCTCCCTGGTGGCACAGCTGTCTTGGGCAGCTCAGTTTTCCAAGTGCTAGGCCGGGAGCCATCTCTGGGCAGCCCGCATAGGGTTTCTCTTTTTCAGATGGCTTGAGATGGGCAAGGCACTATTTCTGGTCCATATCACAGTGCGGCTGTGGAGGTTTGATCTGACCACAGGCCACAGCCCTGCCCCTTCTCCAGTCCCACTCAGAAAGGCCACGTGGCAAGCCGAGATTTGCCAACAGTAGCTGCAGTCTTCACAGGAGGCGCCTGAGCAGCAAACATTCTGTGAACCTGGAACCTGCCCTGGAAGGCAGATGCCCTGGCTGTGCCCCTGGCAGGACCCTTGTGCCTATCCCCACCCAAACCCCCAAGGAGCCCAGGCTTTGGGCAATACAGGCCAGAAGGTTATGACTCCCCCAGAAAAATGTCACAGTGCATCCTCTCAGCACACAAGAGACACGCAGACAGCAGCAGCCTCTGCACAACGGGTCAGGGACTCAGAGTAGTCACACACCTTCCTTCCTTCCTTCTCTCCCAAGTTCAAAGGCTCATCTAACCCACCTCCATGCTGATGGCCTGGCCTCACCGGTGGTACAGCAGGCAGCTACGGAATCAGACAGCCACTGCTGTGTCATGGCGTACCTGCTGCCTACCACAGCAGTGCCCTGGGTAAAATCAGAATGACGCCTCCTCCTCTAGAGTGTGTTAATAAGGACTAAATGAAAGCACATTTGGGTACAGTAAAATACACACACACATACATGTTTAGACACACACACAACTGGTAAACCCTAAAGCAAACACAAAGATATTAATAACAATCTCAATGATCTAGGGTTAAGTTATTACTGAAAGGAATAATTTTTTTTTTTTTTGAGATGGAGTCTCGCTCTGTTGCCCAGGCTGGAGTGCAGTGGCGAGATCTTGGCTCACTGCAACTTCCGCCTCCTGGCTTCAAGCGATTCTGCCGCCTCAGCCAACCGAGTAGCTGGGACTACAGGTGCCCACCACCACATCAGCCAAATTTTTGTTTGTTTTTGGAGATGGAGTTTCGCTCTTGTTGCCCAGGCTGGAGTGCAATGGCGCGACCTCAGCTCACGGCAACCTCTGCCTCCCGGGTTCAAGTGATTCTCCTGCCTCAGCCTCCTGTATAGCTGGGATTACAGGCATGCGCCACCACACCCAGCTAATTTTCTATTTTTAGTAGAGATGGGATTTCATCATGTTGGTCAGGCTGGTCTGGAACTCCTGACCTCAGCTGATCTGCCTGCCTCGGCCTCCCAAAGTGCTGGGATTACAGGCGTGAGCCACCAAGCCCGGCCTAATTTTTGTATTTTTAGTAGAGACAGGGTTTTACCACGTTCGTCAGGCTGGTTTTGAACCCCTGACCTCAAGTGATCCTCCCACCTCGGCCTCCAAAAGTGGTAGGATTACAGGCATGCACCACCGTGCCTGGCAAAAGGCATAATTAAAAAAAAAATTGTTTTGATTTTTATGAGTACATAGTAGGTACATATATTGAAGGGTATGATGTTTTTAACAACCCCCGCCCTGAAGTCCTTTCTCTTATGTTTGCCATATTGCCATGTGGTTCCTCTTTCTCCACAGGTGGAAAAGGTGACGCCGGTGCCCTCTGCCAACACCAGGAACAGAGACCTGGGCAGAGGTCAGCTCCGAGTGCCAGGCCAGCCCTGAGGGTGGGATTGCGTAGCTGCAGAAGCCTCATCTGCTCTGCACTGTGAAGAGCCGAGGACTGAGGGCGGGGGACGGCTGAGGAGGGGGACGGCTGAGGTGGGGGACGGCTGAGGGCGGGGGGGCGGCTGAGGTGGGGGACGGCTGAGGACGGGGGACGGCTGAGGAGGGGGACGGCTGAGGGTGGGGGGACGGCTGAGGAGGGGGACGGCTGAGGGCAGGGGGACGGCTGAGGTGGGGGACGGCTGAGGGCGGGGGGGCGGCTGAGGTGGGGGACGGCTGAGGGTGGGGGGACGGCTGAGGAGGGGGACAGCTGAGGGCGGGGGACGGCTGGGGCGGGGGACGGCTGAGGGTGGGGGACAGCTGAGGCGGGGAGGTTCCCCTCATGCAGCACGCCTTGGGTGGGAGCACACGTCATGCCTCTGTGCTCAGCGTCCTGAAGGGCAGATGGCTGTGGGCACAAGGTGGATAGCCAACCTGACCAGAGCAGTGAGGGGAGGCTTTCTGGAGGAAGTGGCGTTTAAGCAAAGGCCTAGTGGATAGGGAAAGCCAGCTCGACAAAGCCCACACAGTTCCTTCTGCCTGGCCTGTGGTGGCCCCAGTGAGCAGAACTCAGCCTGATCGAGGCAGTGAAAAGCCCTCAATGTGTGAACAGGGCATGGTGGCATGCGTCTGTAGTCCTAGCTACTGGGGAGACTGAGGCAGGAAGGTCGCTTGAGCCCAGGTGTTTGAGGTTGCAGTGAGCCATGATGGCACCAATGCACTCCAGCCTAAGTGAAAGAGCAAGACCGTCTCAGAAAACAAACAAACAAAAATAACCAACCAAAAAAGGGAGTCTGAAGGCAGGGGGTACAGCAGACAAAGCTGGAGGGCAGAGGGTGTCATACCAACAGCTTTAATCACACACAATGAGGGGAGCGGCAAGACGCAGGGAAATTTAGCCTTACAGGCTAGAAACCTCAAAGTTTAGTTTGAGGGTCCCCTCTTCTTCCTCTCCGTGAGCTGAAATGTTTCCCTTTTCTTTGGGTGTTTACGTCAAACACAGTCAGACTTCAGCAGCAACACAGAGACCAGAACTCCCAACTGGGATCACCGTTCCACCCCGAGTTTCGGTAATATCTCTATGACCAACAGGTGGCGCTCAAGAAACACAAAGAAGGGCGTCCAACTCAAAATCCAAACAAACCAGCCACGGCGGGCCGGAAAGGGTCGACGGCCTGCACCCCCAGCCCGCCCCCAAGGCAATTTCAAGTCAAGATCTGAGGAGGCAACGCGTGAAGTTCTGTGATGCCTCAGAAGGTGGCAAGGTGGCAATGAATGCGTCAGGTGTCACAAAGGAAGGGACACCCTGGACGACTCATGCCCAGAAACCCTGGGCAGGCTCCTGATGGGCCTGGCAGAGCTGTTAGGCTGTGCCCCGTCAATCTTCAAGGAGAGGAGCAGGGACATTTCCTACGCAGACCTCCACGGGGACCCTTCTTCACAGGGTACTCAGGAAAAGCTGCTCTAAAAGTCCCACAATGGGCCAGGTGCAGTGGCTCACGCCTGTAATCCCAGCACTTGGAGGGCTGAGGCGGGAGGATCACTTGAGCTCACGAGTTCCAGACCAGCCTGGGCAATATAACAAGACCTCGTCTCTTTAAAAAAAAAAAAAGAAAAAGAAAAGAAGGCCGGGCACGGTAGCTCACGCCTGTAATCCCACCACTTTGGGAGGCCGAGGCGGGTGTATCACGAGGTCAAGAGATCGAGACCATCCTGGCTAACATGGTGAAACCCCCGTCTCTACTAAAAATACAAAAAAAATTAGCCAGGCGTCGTGGTGGCGGGCGCCTGTACTCCCAGCTACTTGGGAGGCTGAGGCCGGAGAATGGCGTGAACCTGGGAGGCGGAGAGTACAGTGAGCCGAGATCGCATCACTGCACTCCAGCCCGGACGACAGAGCAAGACTCTGTCTCAAAAAAAAAAGAAAAAGAAAAAGAAAAAAGTAGCAGGGAGTGGTAGCCTGTGCCTGTGGTCCTGGCTACTTGGAAGGCTGAGGTGGGAGGATCCCTGGAGCCCAGGAGTTGGAGGGTGCAGTGAGCTATCATGGTGCCACTGCACCTCAGCCTGGGTGACAGAGAGAGACCCTGTCTAAAAATTTTTTTTACAAAGCCCACAAGGGAGCCTGCAGCAGTGGAGGGCAGCCCTCCCTGGCAGAGCCCCCAGGGAAGCACCGCCAGAAAGCGTCTGTGACTGGGGGGACTTCTGCTCCCCTAACTCATGCTGCCAGCTCAACATCTTCCAGACAAAGGTGACTGGGCTGTCTCTTAGTCTAACTTGGATTATGCTCCATTCCTTCTTTAAAGCAGACCAGAAACATGTTCTGACCATTTCTGCAAGACCACTGGCTTCCCCCAAGACACGCAATCCTCCTCTGGCCTCCACCTCCTGAACCCGCCCCTGCCATCTGCCCATCAGAACAGAGGTCAACTGCACTCACCCATTCGCTAGCCCTCTCCTCACCCTCTGTGGGAAGGCCATCGCCTAGGGTCGCCAGCACAGGGCCTGGCACGTGGGAGGTGTTTTAAATATGCAGTTATTAAATGAATGCTAAATTTTCCATGAAGAACAATCTTTACACCACCCTGCCACAGCTGCCCTTCCTAGAAGGCAGGTTCTTGACATGAAACAGGAAATTCACAGTACAACAAAGGTCTCTCTCAAAACTTTTCTTGGATGAAACTAGCAAACTATGAATTCCTCAGAGGGCTGGCAAGAGACTGCTTTGGAATGGAAGGAAATTAAATTGCAAGCCTTGCACAGACCAAGCTGGAAGTAAGAACAGGGGCAGGCAGAGAGGGCAGGCCGGGCATGGCCAGGTCAGGGGTCCCTAATTCTGTTCGGTCTGGCTGGGACGAACTCCTGACTCCTGCTCAGACCATTCTCTCCAAAAGAAAGCAGGCAGAGGCCGGGCACGGTGGCTCACACCTGTAATCTCAGCACTTTGGGAGGCCGAGGTGGGCAGATCACGAGGGTCAGGAGGGTCACGAGACCAGCCTGGCCAACATGGTGAAATCCTGTCTCTACTAAAAATACAAAAATTAGTCAGGCATGGTGGCACGTGCCTGTAATCCCAGCTACTCAGGAGGCTGAGACCTCGCCGCTGCACTCCAGCCTGGGCAGCAGAGCAAGACTCCATCTCAATTTAAAAAAAAAAAAAAAAAAAAAGGCTGGGCACAGTGGCTCGCGCCTGGAATTCCAGCACTTTGGGAGGCCGAGGCAGGCAGATCATGAGGTCAAGAGATCAAGACCATCCTGGCCAACATGGTGAAACTCCATCTCTACTAAAAATACAAAAATTAGCTGGGCATGGTGGCATGCATCTGTAGTCCCACCTACTTGGGAGGCTGAGGCAGGGGAATCGCTTGAACCTGGGAGGCGGAGGTTGCAGTGAGCCAAGATGGCACCACTGCATTCCAGCCTGGCGACAGAGTGAGACACCGTTTCAAAAAAAAAAAAAAAAAACCAAGCATGCAGAGGGCTCTGGGGCTATCGTTATAGGTCTCAGAACAGTGGTGGAGCCCATTCATTTGTTCATTCAACCATATTTGTTTGTCATGGGACAACGTTTCTTCACCATTCCTGGTGCTTCTTAGAGGGACACCCCTTAGCAAAACATCCCTGGCTTCCTCCCTACTCCCTGACAGACAGGTAGAGTGGGGCATCTCACAGTGAGTGCTGCAGGACAGGTACAATGAGTGCTGAAGAAGAACCTGGGCTGGGGTCGTTCCCTCCTTCCCCTGCTCCTGAAGAGGGGGTGGAGGTGGAAGGTCAGTCCAGGGTTCTCTTACAAGCCATATCCTCAGCTTGGTCAACAATAAAGGTAATATTTTGGCCACCATCTGCTGACTCTTTTTCTTGTAGTAAAATAAATATAAAATTTACCATTTTAACCATTTTAAAGTAGATGATTCAGTGCCATTAAGAACATTCACAATGTTTTATAACCAGCACCATTACCTAGTTCCCCACTTGTAATCCCAGCACTTTGAGGGGCCAAGGCAGGAGAACTGCTTGAGCCCAGGAGTTTGAGACTGGTCTGGGTAACGTAGTGAGAGACCACCATCTCCACAAAAAATCAGAAAATCAGCTGGGCTTGGTGGCATGTGCCTGTGGTCCTAGCTACTCAGAAGACTGAGATGGGAGGATTGCTCGAGCCCAGGAGGTCAAGGCTGCAGTGAGCCACTATTGTACCACTGCACTCCAGCCTGGGTGACAGGGCAAGACCCTGTCTCAAAAGAAGAAAAGAAAAGAGAAAAGAAAGAGAAGGGGAAGGAAGGGAAGAGAGAAAGAGAGAAGAAGGGGGGAGGGGGAAAGAAAGAAAAAAATATTCTCAGAACTTCATTACTTTCAAGGCAGAATCATATTCCATGTATAGATGGACCACATTCTGTTTATCCATCATCAGTAGGACACAGGTCGTATCCACCTTTGGGCTACAGCGAATAGCGCTGCTACAAAGTGATTCCTCCGTTTTACTTCCCAATCAGTTTAGAGCTCTGGTGGGGAAGAGTTCTCGTCACTAAGCTGGTGCTGGGGATAGAATGATGGGCAAAAACAATTGTGAGCCTTTTTGAAGGGCAAGCTGACAACTGCCCATCAACACTGTAACTGCACATCCCTGTGACCCACAAGCCCACTCCTAGGAAGTGATTCGACAGATCCACCTCACATGGGCACAAAGACGTGAAGAGAAGGACATTAAACTGCAGCACTGTTTGCGGCAGCAAAAGGTTGGAAATAACCTAGATATTCATCACAGGGAACCAGTCAAAACTGGCATATCGCCAGGCGCGGTGGCTCACGCCTGTAATCCCAGCACTTTGGGAGGCCGAGGAGGGTGGATCACAAGGTCAGGAGATCGAGACCATCCTGGCTAACACGGTGAAACCCCATCTCTACTAAAAATACAAAAAATTAGCCGGGTGTGGTGGCAGGTGCCTGTAGTCCCAGCTATTTGGGAGGCTGCGGCAGGAGAATGGCATGAACCTGGAAGGCGGAGCTTGCAGTGAGCTGAGATTGCGCCATTGCACTCCAGCCTGGGCGACACAGCGAGGCTCATCTCAAAAACAAAACAAAACAAAACAAAAAAACTGGCATATCTACACAGTGGAACACTACGGGGTAATTTTTAAAATAACACATTTCTATGTGGTAACACATAGGGAAGACCTACAAGATGCACTGTTAAGTGAAAAAACAAAAATAAAACCAAGGTACAAGATATATGGTATGGCTACCATTTGTTTTTCTTTTTTCTGTTTTTTTGTTTGTTTGTTTTGTTTTGTTTTGTTTTGTTTGTTTTTTTGAGACAGAGTCTCACTCTGTCGCCCAGGCTGGATTGTAGTGGCGCGATCTCGGCTCACTGCAAGCTCCACCTCCCAGGTTCACGCCACTGTCCTTCCTTAGCCTCCAAGTAGCTGGGACTACAGATGCCCGCCGCCACCATGCCCAGCTAATTTTTTGTATTTTTAGTAGAGACGGGGTTTCACCATGTTAGCCAGGATGGTCTTGATCTCCTGACCTCGTGATCTGCCCGCTTCGACCTCCCAAAGTGCTGGGATTACAGGCACGAGCCACCGTGCCCAGCCCATGTGTTTTTTATTTTTATTATCTATTTTTTTTTTTTTGAGATGGGAGTCTCACTCTGTCACCAGGTTGGAGTGCAGTGGCAATCTCAGCTCACTGCAACCTCCGCCTCCCGGGTTCAAGCAATTCCCCTGCCTAAGCCTCCTGAGTAGCTGGGATAACAGGCGTGTACCACCACGCCCAGCTAATTTTTGTATTTTTAGTAGAGACAGGGTTTCACCATGTTAGCCAGGCTGGTCTCGAACTCCTGACCTCAAGCAATCCACCCACCTTGGCCTCCCAAAGTGCTGGGATTATAGGCGTGAGCCACTGCGCCCGGCCTGGTATGGCTACCGTTTATATTCAGAGATATCCACACAGACATGTAGGAGAGGAGGGAGGAGAAAAGACAGCCAAGATGGATACATAAGAAAAGGTAAGAGTGCCACAGCGATTTCCCTTTGCAGAGATGAGCTGGAGAAGCAAGGGGTCCAGTGAGAAGGAGTGTTCACTGAACACCGTTTTGTATTGTTGAAATATAACACTGGAATGTACGGCATTCCTCCCTTTTCTGCGGTATTGTGCTTTACCCATGATCAACCGCTGTCTGAAAATATTACATGGAAAGTTGCAGAAATAAACAATCTATAAATCCTAAACCGTGCACCATTTGGAATAGCAAAATCTCACGCCGTACCGCTCTGTCCCGCCTGGGACATGACTCATCCCTTTGTCCAGCAGATCCACACTGTAGTTGCCACCCACCTGCTAAGTCACTTAGCAGCCATCTCAGTGATCAGATCCATGGTTGTGGTATCACAGTGCTTATGTTCAGGTAGCCCTTATTTTACTTAATAATGGCCACAAAGCATAAGAGTAGTGATGCTGGCAATTCAGATATGACCTAGAGAAGCCTTAAAGTGCTTTCATTAAGTGAAAAGGTGCAAGTTCTCAACTTAACAAGGCTGAGGTTGCTAAGATCTATGGTAAAAACAGATTTTCTATCCATGCAATTGTGAATAGTAGATTGTCATAATTGCTCTATGTTATTATTGTTGTTAATCTCTTACTGTGCCTAACTTATAAATTAAGCTTTATCACAAGTATAGAGCTAACATGTGAAAAAAATGTACTGTATACAGGGTTCGGCACTATCTGAGCTTTCAGGCATCCACTGGGGTCTTAGAACACACCCCCTCAGATAAGGGGGGACTACTGTATTACTTTTTCAAAATAAACAAGGAAAAAAGACCAGGCAAGGTCCAAGACATTCTAGGGCTTCTAGTTAATTGCGGAAGGCAATTCATCACAAAAACAGATATATCAGTCAATTCTGTGCACCAGATCCAGATATGAGGATCACGGTTATTAGGTGGTTTCAATGAGGGAGTGGAGGAATGACTCTTCCAGGAGTCCAATTCACTTGCTTCAAAAGGGCAGTCTCTATCGGCTAGTCCTGGGATGTGGGCCTGGTCCCACAGGCTGCCAGCAGCCAAAGCTAACAGGCTACAGACGAACAAAGGTTCATTGAGGAGCTGGCACGCGGGAGGGGCCACTGCCAATGGCTTGACAGGAGGGGCAGTGTGCATGTCGGGCCACCTGCCCGAGCAGAGAGTCTCCTATGGAGGAACCCCAGGGGGTTTCAGGTCCTGCTCCATCCTCCTCGTGGATCTCTTGGCATCTTTTTTCTTACATTCAAAGAACATCCTGTTGGAGAAGTAGGATCCGAGGGCTGTGGCGGGAAGGCTGGTGCACACTCCAGTGTGCGAGTGTTCGAGTGCCTGCAGGTGCTCCGCCCACATGCGTGCCAGCTTGTTTGTGAGGGTGTATGTTTGTCTTTTCTGTGTGAAAAGCAGGGAGTAATCATTTCCATGACCACCCAAAAATAGGGCAACTTGAGGGAGTGGATACCAGGCAAGATGTGCCTGCCTGCAATGGTGACTTCACCCTGCCTGGGATGGGCTGTGTCCAGGCCTTCCACTAGAGGACAGACACCACCATGTCTAGACCACTTCTAACCAACAAAGAAAGCAGAGTGGTTCCATTTCTGGCCTCGTCACCCAGGCTGGCCCGGCCCAGCCCACCTTCTGCAAAACAGTGACCACATCCACCACACTGGACAGCTGGGTCAGCCATAGCAGATATGAGGGCCTGGGCCCAGCACGTGGTCAATGCTGGGCATGGTGAGGCATGCTCCTGAGTTTTAGGAGCTTCTTGGGCATGTTCTTAAGTTTCCTGTCAGATTCAAGCCATAAGTGGACTTTCAGGCAGGGGCAGGGGCAGGGACCCCTGGGCAGGGCACCATTTAAAGCCAGAGTCCTAGGTTTCCTCGCCAGAAGAGTAAACCCCAATCAGACCCCAAGGTGCTCCTCCGGACTGGAGATGAAACCAGATTTGCAAGAGGCAAACTTGGTATTTCACTTCAATTTGCATCATTTGTTAATGAAATTTCATAATTAAAAACCTGCGCGTTAGCCATGTGCCCCATATTTTCTGAGCTGTTTGCCCATGCCCTTTGCCTTTTCTAAAAACCAACATGGCACATGTATACATATGTAACAAACCTGCACGTTGTGCACATGTACCCTAAAACTTAAAGTATAATAATAATAAAATTAAAAAAAAACTTATTCTGAAGTAATTATAGACTCTCAGGAAGTCACACAAATGGAACAAAGAGCTCCACGTACCCTTCACCCAGCTTTCCCCAGTGGTGGCTCTTGTATCGCTGGAGCACAATGTCAAAGCCGGGAAATTGGCTTTGGGACATTACTGGTAAACAGACTACACGTCATTTACAGTCATTGAAATGTCAATGTTGTGTGTGTGTGTGTGTGTGTGTGTGTGTGTGTGTTTTCAGATGGAGTCTCGCTCTGTCACCCAGGCTGGATTGCAGCAGCATGATCTTGGCTCACTGCAACCTCCACCTCCCGGGTTCAAGTGATTCTCCTGCCTCAGCCTCCCAAGTAGCTGGGATTACAGGTACTGCCATCATGCCTGGCTAATTTTTGTGTTTTTGTAGAGACAGGGTTTTGCCATGTTGGCCAGGCTGGTCTTGAACTCCTGACCTCAGGTGATCTGCCCACCTCAGCCTCCCGAAGTACTGGGATTACAGCTGTGCCCAGGTGTCAGCCATTGTTTCCCTTGCTATTTTATATTCGCAATATTATAATATTAGTGGTACTAATGCTTTGTGATGTTTCTGCAAATGTTTCCCCTAGGATTTTCATTGTCTTTTACTTGTTTTTATGGCATGTCTTTTGAATGTAGGTTACATATTTGTGTAGTCATCTCTACTGGTCTTTTTTTTTTTTTTTTTGAGAAGGAGTTTCGCTCTTGTTGCCCAGGCTGGAGTGCAATGGTGCGATCTTCACTCACTGCAACCTCTGCCTCCCAGGTTCAAGCAGTTCTCCTCCTCAGCCTCCTGAGTAGTTGGGATGACAGGTGCCCGCTACCATGCCCAGCTAATTTTTTGTATTTTTAGTAGAGACGGGGTTTCACCATGTTAGCCAGGGTGGTCTTGAACTCCCGACCTCAGGTGATCCACCTGCCTCGGCCTCCCAAAGTGCTGGGATTATAGGCGTGAGACACCGCGCCCAGCCACTACTGGTTTTTCTTTAGAATTTCTTGTACTGCTTCCCTGCCTGCCCTCCCACCCGTTCAGAGATTTAGTTTTCACTTTTATCTTTTAAGCTTTTGTAGTTTTATTGATTAAAATATATATCTATCCATAATAAAAGAAAATTCAAACAAAAAGGAAAAGTGCAAAGAACAAAAGCAAACTCACCTTCAATTCCGCCACCTAGAAATAACCTGTTACATTTTGGTGATAATATTGTGTAGCAAAGAAGTAGTCTTCCTGGCTGGGTGCGGTGGCTCACGATTGTAATCCCAGCACTTTGGGAGGCTGAGGCAGGTGGATCATTTGAGGTCAGGAGTTCAAGACCAGCCTGGCCAACATGATGAAACCCCATCTCTACTAAAAATAAAAAAATTAACCGGGCAGTAGTGGCGCATACCTGTAATCCCAGCTACTCAGGAGGCTGAAGCAGGAGAATCGCTTGAACCCGGGAGGTGGGGGTTGAGGTGAGCCGAGATCGTGCCACCGCACTCCAGTCTGGGCAACAGAGTGAGACCCTGTCCCCCCCCACCAAAAAAAAAAAAAAAAAAGAAGTCACCTTCCCAAAGAGAGGTCAAGCCTTTGCCCTGGGCTGCTGGGAGGTGAATTCTAGGCCCCTGGAATTAGAAATTAGTTCTGCCTGATGGGAGTGTCTTTGTTTGCCTGGGGGCTTTGGCCACAGAACAGTTACCAATCTGACTTACAATGGGGGCCTGGAGCACAGGGTATCAGTTCCAACCTCCAGAGGAAAGGCTAACTAAAGGTCTTAGCCAGACATCTGGGCGGGGCTAGAAACTAAAGGTCAACCACAGGGGTAGAATGGATCAAGTCCAGTAAAAACTTGCGTCTTGGCTGATTTTAATTTGAATCCTTTCCTTATAATATACTGCAACCATGAATATAATACTTTTCAGTGCGTTCTGTTTTTCTAGTGAATTATTGAAACTGAGGGTGGTTTTGGGAACTCCCCAACTTGCATTTGGTATTAGAAATGAAGGCAGTCAGCCAGGCGCAGTGGCTCACGCCTGTAATCCCAGCACTTTGGGAGGCTGAGGTGGGTGGATCACCTGAGGTCAGGAGTTTGATAACAGTCTGGCCAACATGATGAAACCCTGTCTACTAAAAATACAAAAATTAGCCGGGTGTGGTAGCACATGCCTGTAATCCCAGCTACTTAGGAGGCTGAGGCAGGAGAATCACTTGAACCTGGGAGGCAGAGGTTGCGCGGTGAGCCAAGATTGTGCCATTACACTCTAGCCTGGGCAACAAGAGTGAAATGCTGTCTCAAAAAAAAAAAAAAAAAAGGCCGGGTGCAGTGGCTCACGCCTGTAATCCCAGCACTTTGGGAGGCCGAGGCGGGCGGATCACGAGGTCAGGAGTTCGAGACCATCCTGGCTAACACAGTGAAACTCCGTCTCTACTAAAAATACAAAAAAGTTAGCCAGGCATGCTGGCGGGTGCCTGTACTCCCAGCTCCTCGGGAGGCTGACGCAGGAGAATGGCATGAACCTGGGAGGCGGAGCTTGCACTGAGCTGAGATCGTACCACTGTACTCCAGCCTGGGCGACAGAGCGAGACTCCGTCTCAAAAAAAAAAAAAAAAAAAAAGAAATGAAGGCAGTTATATGGACTGTTCTAACTCTGAAGTTGGCCCTTAAGTCTTGGCAATACATATTCATCTGACTATGTATGTATATAAATAAAGATAAAAATATATAAATAGGCTGGATGTGGTGGCTCACATCTGTAATCCCAGCACTTTGGGAGGCTGAGGTGGGTGGATCGCTTGAACCCAGAAGAGCGAGACCAGCCTGGACAGCATGGCGAAACCATATCTCTACAAAAGATACAAAAATTAGCCAGGTGTGGTGGTACATGCCTGTAGTCCCAGCTACTCGGGAGGCTGAGGTGGGAGGAGCACCTGAGTCCAGGAGGTGGAAGCTGCAGGGCTGCAGTGAACTGTGAACTCACCACTGTACTCTAGCCTGCGTGGCAGAGTGAGACCCTGTCTCAAAACAAAAAGAAAAAACCAAAAAATCCATATATATATGAATAACATAATGCTTAAATAGGTAGGAACAGGTTTGTTTTATAACCCATTTTTCACTTATATGTCACAGACATCTTATGCCAATAAAGTTTTATATTATTTTATTTTTATATACAGAATATTTCACTGTACACATTTATCATAATCTACTTAACCATTTCCCCACAGACATACATTTATATTAACAGACGTGCTGTTTCAAATAAACAATGCTGTGATAAACACTAATTTTCATTAACATAGTCAAAATTTAGAAGTCCTTTTTTTATGCTTCTGTTTTTTGTGTCGTACTTAACAAGGCTTTTCCTAGCCTAAGACTTTGAAAACACTTACCTATTTCCTTCTAGAACTTTCACGGCTTCCCTTGTTACATTCAATTCAATAAAGCCAACTAGGATTTATTTGGTGGAATGAATGTACAGGGATGATGTAGGGATCCTGCTTTAGGTAAGATTTCCTAAATAATCCATCTTTCCCCATTAAACTAAAGGTCCATCTTCATCATACACCCCCTTCCCATAGATACATATATTTGGGACCACTTCTGGATGTTGTTTCTTATGGGTTTTGTACACACATTTTTTTTTTTTTTTGAGATGGAGTCTCGCTCTGTTGCCCAGGCTGGAGTGCAGTGGCACGATCTTGGCTCACTGCAAGCTCTGCCTCCTGGGTTCAGGCCACTCTCCTGCCTCAGCCTCCTGAGTAGCTGGGACTACAGGCGCCCGCCACCACCACGTCCGGCTATTTTTTTATATATATATTTTTAGTAGAGATGGGGTTTCACCGTGTTAGCCAGGATGGTCTCGACCTCCTGACCTTGTGATCCGCCTGCCTTGGCCTCCCAAAGTGCTGGGATTACAGGCGTGAGCCACCACGCCCGGCCTGTACATACATTTTTAATGATTTCACTTTTTACATAACTCTGATTCATCTGGGGAGAAAATCAATTTAGTTCTTTACACAGCTCACAAAAACAAATTCCAACTAGTTATCTCATTGTCTCATCTTCCCACAATGACTTACGACACTTCTCTGAACATATGTTGCATCTTCACCTATACCAGGGCTTGTTCTGGGCCCTGCATCACCACTGACCTGTGTCCAATCCTGTGCTGCCATCACACTAATTTAATCACCACAACTCTGTGCTATACTTTACTATCTAAGTAAGGTTAGCACCCATCATCTTTTAAAACAATTTTAGAATTCTTGCCTACTATTCTTTCAAGTGAACTTTATGACCATGTTGACAAATCTCAAAATAAAACTATTCTAAAAGAAAAAAGAAAACTATTTTAATATGTTGATTGGGATTATGTTTAATAAATCAATTAATGTAGGCAGCACCCCACTTCAAATTGGGCCATCACCATACCAAATTAAGGAATGTTATTCTACTTACACTACTTAACCTACTTAAAAAGAGAAATCCAAAGCTATCTGGTTTGCTATAATTTGCTTCATGAACCTCCTTCACATTTCTGATCATATTTTTCTAACATTTCTAAATAATATAAAAAGGAAATTTAGAAAGAAAAAACAGCAAAACAAAACCAAATCACGCAGTTATACCACTCAAACACAAGCACTATCCTCATTTTATTGTGTTTGACATAGCCCCACCTAGCTGATATGGCAGCTGCCACCCTCACCCTGACCAAACGGCTAAGCCACAGGCAGCAGGGAAAGGTTTCCATTATATTCAGTACTAAGCATGACTGTCCCCAAAGAATACAGCTTTTCCCTAGCACCTTCATAAAAAGGTAATTCAGTTGGTAGTTGGTTTAAATATTCACCAAGGTAAAATGTTTATGTAAAGAATGAAAAACTCTACCCAATTGCAGACACCTGGCTTAAAGAGGCAATAAATCAAGGAACAGCATTCTCTAGCCAGAGTACACACCTGGAGTCAAGACTCTAGAAATTGGCTACCAGAGATGTAATAAAAACAGATCATACTTGCAAATGTTTCTAAGCACCTATGAAGACTGACAAAAAACAAATTTGATATTATCACCACTATTAGTCATTTCAAGGCACTGCCAGCTACACAGCCTACTTACAAGTCAAAGAAATCTGAAGCTGTCTGATGCATTTAAAAGGATAAGGTAACACTCGCCAGGTAGCCAAGACCTATAAATAGACTTTTTTTTTTTTTTTTTTGAGACAGAGTCTTGCTCTGTCACCCAGGCTGGAGGGCAGTGGCGCCATCTCGGCTCACTGCAAGCTCCGCCTCCTGGGTTCACGCCATTCTCCTGCCTCAGCCTCCTGAGTAGCTGGGACTACAGGCGCCCGCCACCACGCCCGGCTAATTTTTTGTATTTTTAGTAGAGACGGGGTTTCACCATGTTAGCCAGGATGGTCTCGATCTCCTGACCTCGTGATCCGCCCACCTTGGCCTCCCAAAGTGCTGGGATTACAGGCGTGAGCCACTGCGCCCAGCCCTTTTTTTATTTTTTTTTCTTTTGAAGAGCAGGATCTAGCTCTGTTGCCCAGGCTGGAGTGCAGTGGCATGATCATAGCTCACTGCAGCCTTGAACTACTGGGTTCATGTGATCCTCCCACCTCAGCCTCCCAAGAATTTGGGACTACAGGCATGCACCACCATGCCCAGCTAAATTTTAATTTTTTTGGTAAAGATAAGCGTCTCCCAGGCCAGGTGCAGTGGCTCACACCTGTAATCCCAGCACTTTAGGAGGCCGAAGCGGGTGGATCACCTGAGGTTGGGAGTTTGAGACCAGCCTGACCAACATGGAGAAACCCTGTCTCTACTAAAAATACAAAATTAGCCGGGCGTGGTGGCACATACCTGTAATCCCAGCTACTCACGAGGCTGAGGCAGGAGAATTGCTTGAGCCCAGGAGGCGGAGGTTGCAGTGACCCAAGACCGCGCCATTGCACTCCAGCCTGGGCAACAAGAGCAAAACTCTGTCTCAAAAAATAAAAAAAAGAGAGATAAGCATCTCCCCATGCTGCCCAGGCTGATCTCGAACTCCTGACCTCAAGCAATCCTCCTGCCTCGGCCTCCTAATGTGCTAAGATTACAGACGTGAGCCACCGTACCTGACCCTAAACCTAAATAGGCTTTAAATAGGTTTTTCCCTTTTTGAGACAAGAGATAATTCAGTAAAGATTGTTCCCAATTATTTTCAGTTTTAAGGGTCTGGAATTGTATCCCTCCCCAGAAAGAGAGTTCCTGGCCCTAAAGAATAAAAATGAGAGGCACCCAGAGCAGGGATGCGTTGGGGTCACACCCACTTCCATTCGGCAAAAGGAAGAATAGCTGGATCCTGTAACACCCACTGCAACCACAGGATTCTGGCTTATTTGAGGAAGAGGATTCAAAAAAGCATACGAACAACTTTGTACTGCCCTCATCACATAATAGAAATTCCAAAATAAAATCCATTTTCCCTTTGCCTGCTAAAGATGCTTTCTCCCATCTGCTACTGAGAATCAGTTGTCAACCTAAATCTCTCCTTTGCATCCTCTTCCCATGGGTGTTTTTTAGTCAACTTATTAACCTTCCAAGTAGCAAAGGAGTTTGGGATGGGCAGAAGAGTTGGAGCCTACTCTAAATCGAAGGCAAGCTGTAGAAACAGTTTTTGTATTTCAGACATGCTGCAAATCTCCTCAGCCAACCCATCTGAGGTCAAACAGCCCTTCTGTCTCTCCTGAGACGTATGAACGGATTACATCTTTGTCAGCATTCCATATATCTACATTTCTTTCCTGTCTGTGAAAAGCAACAATTTGGGCCAGGCACGGTGGCTCACACCTGTAATCCCAGTGTGGATCGCTTAAGGCCAGGAGTTCGAGACCAGCCTGGCCAACATGGCAAAACCCCATCACTACTAAGAATACAAAAAGTAGTTGGGCACAGTGGCTCATGCCTATAATCCCAACACTTTGGGAGGCCAAGGCGGGCGGATCACTTCAGGTCAGGAGTTCAAGACCAGCCTAGCCAACACAGTGCAACCCCGTCACTACTAAAAATACAAAAATTAGCTGGGCGTGGTGGCTCACGCCTTGTAATCCCAGCACTTTGGGAGGCCAAGGTGGGCAGAACACTTCAGGTCAGGAGTTCGAGACCAGCATGGCCAACATGGTGAAACCCCATCTCTACTAAAAATACAAAAATTAGCCAGGTGTGGTGGTGCACGCTTGTAATCCCAGCTACTCAGGAGGCTGAGGCAGGAGAATCACTTGAGCCCGGAAGGCAGAGGTTGCAGTGAGCTGAGATTGTGCCACCTAAAAAGGAAATTATATTTTTTATAGTTTCACATGAGGGTGAGCACAGGTTTAGTCACTAAAAGTCAAGGTCAGAGTGACTAATGTCTCTCTCTTTCATTTACCCCTGCTTGAAGGCCTCCTGGAAGAATAGACTAAAATGGAATGAGAATTTGTAAGACACACATAATTTAAGAAAAACTACAGAGCAGGAAAAAGAAGTCTGCCTAGACAGTGATGGGCACTCATTTCTCAAAACCGAAGTCCCTGATGTACTGCTGGTTCCCTCCACACACAAGTGAAAGCAAAACACAGGCCTTGCAGGAGCTCACGGACTAATGAAAGGGCGTGACCCACATGGGAAGGAGATTTTGTGTCTTCTCCTTCCTGCAGATCTTTGGGGGCCAGCGTGCATTTAGAGGTGGGGAGGAGTCGAGCAGGGAGAGAGTAATTATGAACAAAACTTGAAGCCAACCATTTATGTTGATTTTTTGACTATAAAGTTTCAGTCCTCGTGTTATGTACAAGGGCCTGCTACCCTTTCCTGACATAAGGAAGAATGATAATATGATTCCTCTGATGGCAAAATCCCAGATTTTACTGAGGAAATCTAATTCTGTCTTTTTTTTTTTTTTTTTTTTTGAGATGGAGTCTCGCTCTGTCGCCAGGCTAGAGTTGCAGTGGTGTTATCTCAGCTCACTGCAACCTCTGCCTCCTGGGTTAAAGCCATTCTCCTGCCTCAGCCTCCTGAGTAGCTGAGATTGTAGATGCCCGCCACCATACCTGGCTAATTTTTGTATTTTTAGTACAGACGAGGTTTCACCGTGTTGGCCAGGATGGTCTTGATCTCTTGAACTCGTGATTCACCCGCCTCAGCCTCCCAAAGTGCTGGGATTACAGGTGTGAACCACCCCTTTCGGCCCTGATTCTGTCTTAATGTCATAAAAATTCATCTTCTCCATCAGCAGCATCACAGGCCAGGCTGCCCTTCGCAGGGGACACATGGCGCACCTTCCAATCAGGGTCAGCTTGGAAAGATACTTTTATTACCACCTAGTCACCGCCGGCCAGGGGAGAGCCAGAGAGGGCAGTGTCCCCGCAACCCCCCACCTTCCAATCAAGGCCAACTCAGAAAGATGCTTTTATCACCACCCTGTCACCACTGGTCACAGGAGAGCTGGGGGAGGACAATGTCCCCCCAAATCCCCCTTTTCAATCAGGGCCAACTCGGAAAAGACACTTTTCTAACCACCCTGTCACCACCAGCCACAGGAGAGCCGGGAGAGGGCAGTCAGTGTCCAACTGCCTGCCAGCTCTGCAGCCTTGGACAGACACCTGGCCTTTCAGAACTTCACTTTCTTTGGGAAAAAAAGAAAACTACTTCACAGAGCTGTGGTAAGAATGAAATGAAGCCAGGTATTTAGAGCAGACTGACTTTCTATCTGGAACACAGGAGGTTCTCAGTAAAAAGAATTCATACATTCAGCTGATGCTTCCCAAGACGTTCAGGGCTGTCTGACTCACTGTGCTGTGGGAACCGCACAATTAAAGCCTCTAGGCCACTGTGGCCAAGCCTCACCGTGACTCTGGATGGGAAGAGGGGGAACGACTGTGGGGGGATGCTGAACAAAGGTGCTGCGGAGCTGGAGAGCACCAGAGCTGTGAGATTAGGTACATCCAGGAAAATGCAAATGCATCCCACCAAGAGCGACAGCACAGGCAGAAATGTCTTTATTAGCCCTTACACAGGAATTGCAGCTGGGGGTTTCACAGCTGTCCTGTCACCTGAACCCCCAGCTCCCGCCACGAGGAAATGCCACCAAGGGCCTGATGACTGCCTGCACCATCAGCTCTCAGGCACACTTCACAGCAGTGACCCTTATCAAGTGCCTCTTAGTCAAGCTACAGAGTGGACAACCTGGGAGAGGGCGACAGACAGAGGAGAACACAAGGAGGAGGGCTGGTGACGTTGAACCCCTGCCAGTGCTCTCAGAGGAGAGGCGTGGGCCCAGTTGGAGTCCTGCACCCGGAAGCTAGTGCAGCTGGTGCAGCTGATGCTGCTACCTCTCTTTCAGCTCCATGAATCTATGGGAATCAAGAGCAGTGAAGGCCGGGTGCTGTGGCTCACACCTGTAATCACAGCACTTCGGGAGGCCAAGGTGGGTGTATCACCTGAGGTCAGGAGTTTGAGACCAGCCTGGCCAACATAGTAAAACCCCATCTCTACTAAAAATACAAAAATTAGCCAGGCTTGGAGGTGCAGGCCTGTAGTCCCAGCTACTCAGGAGGCTACGGCAGGAGGATCACTTGAACCCGGGAGGCGGAGGTTGCAGTGAGCCGAGATCGCGCCACTGCACTCCAGCCTGGATGACAGAGTGAGACTCCATCTCAAAAAAAAAAAAAAAAAAAAAAAAGAACCTGCGATTCCATCTTGCTTTCACCACCAGGAATCAAATGCATCCACACCATACAGAAACCCTCTGCAGGCCAGGGAGTGGAACATCCCAGCAACACTTACCAAAAGCCCGATGTGTCAGGCTCTGCACAGACAGTGACAACACAGTGACAATGCCATCCCTGGCTCTGCCCTCAGGACCTCACGAGCTAATGCAGAAGACAGAAAGGTCTTCCTTTGAGTGAGCAAAGGCATGTGTGGAGTGTATGGAAGTGCAATGGAGGGGCACCCAGTGGTGTTTTCCTTAATTAGGATGCCTGAGCGGAGTCTCCAAGGACGGGCAGGAGTTAACCAGGGAAAGAAGGGAGAGAAAAGGGTTTCAGGCAGAGGGAATCAGGAGGCCTTCTCCAGAAACGAGCAGCTTTGGCTTCTGGCCCATGCTCTTCCCTCCCTTCTCCATCACCACCATAAATGGGTCTGCAGCTTTGAAGACAGAGGATAAGTTGAGATAACACCACCCACAGTGCAGAGCCTAGGATCAAAGTCCCAACCTTGCTGCTACTTTTCCCAGCCAGGGGCTGGCCTGGGCAACAGGCAAATCCTTGAAAAAGAAGAGCAAGTGAAGCGATGGAAATGCCAGTTGGCCAACATCTCACACTTAAGTGTGAACCTATAGTCTGAACCTATAGTCCAAAACGATGACAGAATAGGAATCAAAGCTAATTTGTCACATCAGGTTCTAAAGTAAAGCAGACAGAGAAAGAAGGGAACAAGAGAGAGAGGAGGAAAAGAAGGGGGGGAAAGGGCTTATAAAAGGGAAGTTTTTTTTTTTTTTGAGACGGAGTCCCGCTCTTTAGCCCAGGCCGGACTGCAGTGGCACAATCTCGGCTCACTGCAAGCTCCGCCTCTAAAAGGGAAGTTTTTGAGAGATACCTCTTTTGTACCATGGGTGTTTTGACCACATAAAAGTGAAAAATCAGCCGAGCGCGGTGGCTCACTCCTGTAATCCCAGCACTTTGGGAGGCCGAGTCAGGCAGATCACCTGAGGTCGGGAGTTCTAGACCAGCCTGACCAACACAGAGAAACCCCATCTCCACTAAAAATACAAAATTAGCCGGGCACGGCTGTAATCCCAGCTACTCAGGAGGCTGAGGCAGGAGAATCTCTTGATCCTGGGAGGCAGAAGTTGTGGTGAGCTGAGATCTCAACACTGCACTCCAGCCTGGGCAACAAGAGCGAAACTCCGTCTCCAAAAAAAAAACCCGTGAAAAATCTCTTCTAAATAAAAAAAAAATCAATAAGCAAAGTTAGAAGGTAAGTGTCAAACTGAGAGAGGCATTAGGAAAAAAGCTTAGTCCTTAAGGTGTAAGGAGCTCCACAATCAGTGAAGCTTCCCCAGTGACTAACTGCAGAGATAAAAAGGATGTGGCTGTCAAGGTCTGAACCAAATGGCCCAATTTAGCACCACCAACAGTGGGCCCACCTGACAGTATGGACCTTTGATGTGATCGCCCATGAGGCACCCACCAAAAATGTTTCACCTAAATCTAACAAAGCCTTTCAGGACTCACGTGATTTAGTGGTTTAGAGGAAACACGGGGAGCAAGGAAACATGTTCACCAGGAAACGACAAATGCAGACTGTGGGACGGACTTCAAGACAACTGGGCCAGTCCCTTCAAAAGGTCAGAGCCACGGGGGGAAGGCAGAAGGATTCTTCTACAAGAAAAAAGGCTGGCCGGGTGTGGTGGCTCATGCCTGTAATCCTAGCACTTTGAGACGCCGAGGTGGGCAGATCACAAGGTCAGGAGATCAAGACCATCCTGGCTAAAGTGGTGAAACCCCATCTCCACTAAAAATACAAAAAAATTAGCTGGGCGTGGTGGCGGGCACCTATAGTCCCAGCTACTCGAGAGGCTGAGGCAGGAGAATTGCTTGAACCCGGGAGGCAGACGTTGCAGTGAGCCAAGATCGCACCATTGCACTCCAGCCTGGGCGAGACAGTGAGACTCCGTCTCAAAAAAAAAAAAAAAAAAAAAAGAAAAGGTAATTATGGTAAAGCCAAAAACAAGAAAACTGAAGATAAATCAAATACATCTACCAACACATGAATGGAGAAAACGCACTGCTATATCTATACGACAGAATATTAACTACAGGTGCAGACAGCAACATGGATAAGTCTTAAAAACATGCCGAACAAAGGAAGCGAGACACAAGGATACAAACTGTCTGATTCTATTTATACAAAACACACGGAAAGACTAATCTGATTCACAGTGATAGTGCGCAGATAGGGAAGGAGAGGATGCCTGGGAAGGGCGCGAGGGAACCTTCTGGGGTCATGGAAATGTTCTGTATATTGATTGCAGTGGTCACATGTGTGCATACATTTGCCAAAACTATAAATCAGTACACTTGTAAGGGTGAATTTTATTGTTTACATATTATACCTTAATAGAGCTGATTGAAGTTTTTAAATTATAGTAATGATACCCAAGGGTTGGGGATAATGTAAGGAGTTGGACCCTCTTAAATAACACTAGTGGGACTATTAATTGGTACCACATGCTTTCTGTAACAGCTTTATTGGAATATAGTTCACATACCACACAGTTCACTCATTTGAAGTGTACAATTTGGCCAGGCACGGTAGCTTACACTTGTAATCTCCGCACTTTGGGAGACCAAGGCGGAAGGATCACATGAGCCCAGAAGTTAGAGACCAGCCTGGACAACACAGCAAAACCCTGTCTCTACAAAAAAAAAAAAAAACAAACAAAATTAGGCCGGGCACAGTGGCTCACACCTGTAATCCCAGCACTTTGGGAGGCCAAGGCGGGAGGATCATAAAGTCAGGAGTTCAAGACGAGCCTGACCAAGATGGTGAAACCCTGTCTCTACTAAAAAAAAAAAAAAAATACAAAAATTAGCCAGGTGTGGTGGTGGGCACCTGTAATCCCAGCTACTTGGGAGGCTGAGGCAGAGAACTGCTTCAACCAGAGAGGCAGAGGTTGCAGTGAGCCGAGATCGTGCCACTGAACTCCAGCCTGGGTGACACAGCGAGACTCTGTCTCAAAAAAAAAAAAAAAAAGGCCAGGTGCAATGGTTCATGCCTGTAATCTCAGCACTTTGGGAGGCCAAGGCAGGTGGATTACAAGGTCAGGAATTCAAGATCAGCCTGGCCAACATGGTAAATCCCGTGTCTACTAAAAATACAAAAATTAGCCGGGCATGGTGGCGGGCGCCTCTAATCCCAGCTACTTAGGAGATTGAAGCAAGAGAATCGCTTGAAACCAGAAGGTGGAGGTTGCAGTGAGCCAAAACTGCACCACCACACTCCAGCCTGGGTAGAAGAGTGAAACTCTGCCTCAAAAATAAATAAATAAATAAATAAATAAATAAATAAATAAATACATACATACATACATACATACATATAAAATTAGCCAGGCATGGTGGCGTACACCTGTAGTCCCAGCTACTTGGGAAGCCAAGGCGGGAAAATGCCTTGAGCCTGGGAGGTCGAGGCTGCAGAGAGCCGTGATCATGCCGCTGCACTTCAGCCTGGGTGACAGAGCGAGACCCTGTCTCAAAAAATAGTGTACAATTCAATCGTGTTTCATATATTCAGAGAGCTATGCAACTGCCATCACAACTTTAGAGCATTTAAAAGAAATGCCCACACTCTTTAGTTATTCCACTTCGACCCTAAACAACTATTGATCCACTTTCTGTCTCTACATGAATGCATATTCTGGACGTTTCATATTTCACATAAGTGGAATCATATAGTATGTAACCATTTGGGATTGACTTGTTTCACTCTGTGTCATGTTTTCAAGGCTCATCCATGTTGTAGCATGTGTCAGCATTCCATTCCTGTTTGCCACTGAATAATATTCCTATCCACAGATATATCACATTGTTTAATCCATTCATCAGCTGGTGGACATTTAGACTATTTCCAACTTTTGGCTGTTATGATTAATACTTCTGTGAACATCTGTGTACAAGTTTTTGTAGGAACTATATTTTCATTTCTCTTGGGGAGATTCTTAGGAAGGGAATTGCTAGGTCACATGGTAACTCCATGTTTAATGTGTTGGGGAGTTGCCAGACTGTTTTCCACAGCAGCTGCACCATTGTACATTCCCACCAGCACACAGAGGGAATGGATCTCGATGCTCTCCCACACTTTCCACAGGCTAATGCTGTGAAGTAGCCTCTTACTGTGGTTTTGAGCGCATTTCCCTAACGATTAATGGTATTAAACATCTTTTCACATGTTTATTGGCCATTTGTGTATCTTCTTTGGAAAAATGTCTATTCAAGTCCTCTGTCCATTTTTAAATTGGGTTATTTGTGTTTTTTTTAATTTGTAGAATTCTTTATATATTCTAAATATACATCTTTTAATAGATATATAATTTGCCAATATGTTCTCCCATTCTAGGGGCTGTCTTTTCTAATTAATACAACTTTTGAAAACTACTCTTGCAATGTATATCAGACTTCAGTGTGAATACCTACTTTGATCTTGTAGTTTCACTTTTGAGAATATATCTCAAGGAAATAATTTAAGAAGTATAATGAGAAGAGCTATAAACAAGGATAGTCATCAAAGGACTATTTAACTGAATCACAACCCTTACCTCACACCATATACAAATATTAACTCAAAATGGTTCACATCCTAAATGTAAAAGCTAAAACTATAAAACTTCTTGAAGAGAAGGCCGGGCGCGGTGGCTCACGCCTGTAATCCCAGCACTTTGGGAGGCCAAGGTGGGTGGATCACAAGGTCAGGAGTTCGAGACCAGCCTGACTAACATGGTGAAACCCTGTCTTTACTAAAAATACAAAAAGTAGCTGGGCATGGTGGCATGGGCCTGTAATCCCAGCTACTCGGGAGGCTGCGGCAGGAGAATGGCGTGAACCTGGGAGGCGGAGCTTGCAGTGAGCCGAGATCCCGCCACTGCACTCCAGCCTGGGCGACAGAGCGAGACTCCGTCTCAAAAAAAAAAAAAAGAAAAAAAAAGAAAAAAATAAATAAATAAATAAATAAATAACTTCTTGAAGAGAATACAGGAGAAAAATCTTACAGGCCTTGGATTGGCAAAGATTTCTTAAATACAACACAAAAAGCATGAAAAGAAAAAAAAAGACATATATTAGACTTTCTCAAAATTAAAAACTTTTGTTCTTCAAAAGACAACTGAAAATGATGCTGCAGGTCTATTTTTACCTACATGGGCACAGGAAAAAAAAAAAGAAAAAAAAGCAAAGTGACAAAACAACAGGGTGTAACTCTAAGAGCAGCTTTCCAGGGCTCTTTTCTTCCTGTCTTTCCAAAATGTCTGAATCCTGCATTTGACCATGAGCATACACCTCTATGTGATGAGGGAGGAGGAAGGAAAAGAACCTCCACAGAATGATTTCCTCTTGGCAAAGGGGAAGAAGTGAATGTCCATCTCATAATTGGCAAAAAGTAAAATTCAGTTAGCCCGGGGACATAGTCTGCCCTGTTGATTGAGTTTACTTATTTGCCAGATTTCAAAAATGAGAATATATTATAATTTTTTGAAGAGTTGAGGATCTTTGCCCTTTCACAAGATTTGCAGATAATTTCTATTACACATACAAGTTAATCTGGTGAACAACATTCACTGATGTAACTGGCTAATAACTGGCTAATAATGGCTTCGGAGTATTCTGTAAAAGGAGTCTGTATGTATACCATTATCTCACAATTATCTGGAGCTTAATTTAGTTATCCAGAAGTAAGTAAAAGTAATTCAAGATAGATAACAAAGGTCTGTGCACTTGACTCAGAGGAGAGTCTCTAAACCCTCACTAAGTTAATTACCCTTGTTTTACACTCAATTTAACAAGTTATGCAAACCAATAGAAAATGGGAGACACCAGACAAAAAGGGAAACTCACTGCTGAGCAAGTGACAGCCAAAAGCCTAGAGGAGATGATCATTCAAGTTGAAAACCTAACTCATGAGAAAGTCTGGGACTGTTGAACAGAGAATTCAATATACCTTAACAATGAAAGATTACCACAATAATGCAATAAATAATATTCAAAAATATGTTTCTAAATAATCAAAAGTTATGTTCAATATGTTCAAGAAAGCAGCAAAAATGAGTATGCATTTGAGACAGATTTCTACTTCCCATTAAAAATGGTTAATTTTGTAAAAGAGATGATTAAACAAAATAAACAGTGATCTAGAAAACTGGTTAATATCAAAGGAAGCTCTATTCCTTAAGAGAGGGGCAAATTAGGTATTTTTACAAACACATTTTAATAGCAAGCCAACCTTAATCCCATAAAACTCAAAGGACTGACCTAAAGAAGTCATTTTAGATCCATTCACAGATTCTTCTGTGCTCCTCAAATGGTACCACAGAGGTGCTTCCCAAGTCAGTCTGAATAACTAACCCTGTAGATAAGGTCATTTCATCTTGCCACCTGACCACCCAGCTCTGTTCACCAGGTCTACACTCCTCCTGCACTGCAGCTCCATCTTTGAGAAAAAAAAAACACTTGAACTTGGCTGTCTGGGGCAGAGACCTGACATGTTTTTGCACTCTGCATTTCCTCCTTCCTGGCTCTTCAAATGTCGGGGTATAACCACACTGCACTTGGAGAGCTATTGATTCAAATGCAGAGAAACGAAGTTCCTGACTTGGGGAGGAAATGTAGTCTCCATCTTCTCACTACAAACACCTTTCCATGTGAGCCGCCTCCACCCTCCCACCCACCAAGGGAGTTCTCCTAATGCCCTAAACTCCTTCAGGGCTGGGATTTCCACAAATATATTTGGATATGAGGACTATTCCTCATATAGCCACACAAATAGGAAACCAAGGAGGCGCAGAGGTAGGACAATGCAACCTAAGTTGGCATCAGAAAGCCAAAGCCCTGAGGCTCTGCTCCTCCCCCTGAGGGAGTTCAGCAGAGGAACTGTTCTCTCTTGCTGGTTATTTGTAGCCTGAGGCATCATACACATGATAGGGACAGACATCAGACCAAAAAGGTCATTGGGGAAATCAGCCCGGGCTGCAGGGACAGCAGGTGGGGAACCTGACCACAGCAGGCGGTCTCATGTCTGGAACAGGCTAGGGCCAAGTGAGGCTGGGGCCACCAGTGCGCAGCACGATGCCTGGAAGGGCAATGCCCCCAGGGCATTACCAAGAGGCAAGGCTGGCTGCAACAGCTGGGGTCCAGGATGCCCGCTGGCTGCCAACAGCTGGGGTCCAGGATGCCCTCTGGACCAAGAGACAGCAATCTGCTTTGCAATAGTTTGGTTTTTGTGTTTGTTTGTTTTGGGGTTTTGTTTTGGTTTGTTTTGGTTTTTTTGGAGACATGGCCTTGCTCTGTTGCCTAGGCCAGCTGAAGTGCAGTGGCACGATCATGGTTCACTGCAGCCTCAAACTCCCCAGCTGACGCCATCCTCCTACTTCAGCCTCCCAAGTAGCTGGGGCCACGGGCACATGCCACCATGACTGGCTAATTTTTTAAATAATTTTTGTAGAAGATCTTGCTATGTTGCCCAGGCTGGTCTTACACTCCTGGGCTCAAGTGATCCTCCCGCCTTGACCTCCCAAAGTGCTGGGATTACAGGCGTGAGCCACCACGCCCAGCTGCTCTGCAGTAGTTAACTCACTGTCCTAAGACGCTGTTCCCGCTGCTCCTGCTGAGCAGGGAGGCAAAGGGAAGTGGTTTCTTCTCTGGAACCAGTGGTCCTCCTCCCAGCCCACCCCCAGGATCAGCAGCAGAGGTGGAAGAAGAGAAGCCAATTTCAGAGCACCGGAGCGACGCAAACCACACCAACTGGCACTTTATTCAAAACAATGATGGCTTTGTCAAGCACAGCCCAAGAGCCAGCTGAAAAACCTGCCCTTCCCTCCTAATTTCTACCCTCAAGTCCCCGTGACTTTGAGGCACCATGTTAAAAAGGAGGAAAAAAATTACACAGAAACCAACATCAGCCAACCCATGTGACCTGACAGAAGGCAGGCCAGCTGCCCTTCCAGGATGACACATTGCTGGAGCTGGCTGTTCTGCAGCCATGGGTCGCCTACTGGGCAGCTCAAGCTCCCAGGACACATTTAAGTCTCACTGATATATTTCCAGTGATCCCAGCCAACAAAGAACAAAGAACTGAAAGAGCGCTGCTGTGTCAATCTTCCAGTCGTCTGGGAGGGCAGCACACCCCAACCTCAATCTGAGTTGCTCAGCGGGGGTGGCTGCTCCCCATCTTTCCAAGAACCTAAAAGCTGCTGCCCCAGGGCCCTCTAGGACAGGGAACAGAAGGAAAATCTCTCTGTGGGGAAGAAGTGGGGGGCACCGGAAGAATAGATGACATTATTTCTCACACCACACCCTGCCCTGCTCGCTTCATCCCTATTTTACCAATCAGGGTCAGTCATCTCCAACACCCCACAAACACACCCATAGCTCCAAGGAGCCAGCAACAAGCACACAAACAAAGATAAGCAAACAAACTTATCAGGCGCAGCGCAGCTGGCTCCACACAGGCCCTGCCAGCTCCTCTGCAAATACAGTCTCTGGTAGGCTGCCCTGAGAAGGATCTGAAGGAGGCCGTGCATAGCACCAGTGAGCTTACCTACCTGCTGGCTCACAGTACTGTGAAAGGTCAAGGCCAAGGCCAGGCCAGAGCTGAGCTGCTAACTGGGTTCTTTGCTTCCCTATGGACAAAGCCTTCTGCCAAGGTTTCTTGTGGGGAGGGGGAACCCATGGATTCCAAAACTAAAGGGAAACAGAGACTGGCCCAATAGATAAGGGAGCAGCCTGGGAGAGTAGGGAGCTGGGAGCAGGCATTCCACCGGGCCAGGAAATGGAGCCCTCAGTAAGGAACTCTCAGCAAGAACACAGCAGGGGGATGGTGGGCAGTGTGGGGACACCGGCCTTCACACAGCTGGGCCTGAGCAATTTTAATTAATTAATTACTTTTTTTTTTTTTTAGAGGCAGGGTCTCACTCTGTCACCCAGGCGGGAGTGCAGTGATCATAGTTCAGCAGCCTCCAACTTCTGGTCTCAAGAGATCCTCCCGCCTCAGCCTCCTGAGCAGCTGGGACTACAGGTGTGAGCCACCACACCTGGCTAATTTTTTAGTTTTTGTAAAAATAGGGTCTCGTTATGTTGCCCAGGATGATATGGAACTCCTGGGTTCAAGTGATCCTCCCACGTCAGCCTCCCAAAGTGCTGTGATTACAGGCGTGAGCCACCAAACCTGGCCCTGGTTATGTTTTAAAATTAAGGCTGGGTGCAGTGGCTCACACCTGTAGTGAGGCCAGGGTGACAGGACTGCTTAAGCACAGGGGTTCAACGCTGCAGTGAGCTGTGATCACACCATTGCACTCCAGCCTGGGTGACAGAGCGAGACCCTGTCCGCCCAAAAAAAACACCCATAACCAAAGTCCTCATGCCTTCGGCCAAAAGCTCCTCTGCCGAGCACTCTTCTGACAATGCAAGTGTTAGGACAGACAGGCCCACGGAAGCACCACAAGCGAGCAGCTGAGAAGCAAGGCTGCCAAGCCAGACAGCGGCATCTCCGGACTCAATCTGACAAAAAATACTTAAATCATTTTTCAGAGCGTTGAGTCAGCTCTTCCTTCCATGTACCAAGTCATTCCCCAGTTTTGTAACTTGCAGGGACATGTACCCGCAGCATTCCAGTTCCACGTGAGAGCTCACGCCAGCTGGGGGGACTCACACCTGGAATCACAACTTTCACAGAGCCTTGCTCTCCCTACCTCAGGCACAACAAACAGCCAAGGGCAGGAGTCACCTCGGGGACACCGCGGTCACAGCCTCGGGGGTCTGTCAGCAGAGCACCACAAGGCATGCAAGCTGCGGCATCAGTCCTGCGGGCATGCTGCTGACTGTGCGTTCTACCCCTGCCCCACAGCAGGCTGCTGGACAAATGTGAAAGCGCAGGAGCTTCCACTCCCGGACTCAGAATAAACAGGCCACCGTTCAGCTCCGCGCCTGCTGACCACCATTCCCCTAGACACACCTGTCCTGGGAGGGTGGGACAGTGGGACAAGGAGGGGTGCCTAAAGTGGTGATAAGAATTGCTGCCATTTTTAGAGACTTGAAAGCTTCCCAGGGTAAAGGCTCCTATCAGGAAGGAGGAGGAAGCAGACATTTTCAGAGAAAGTAGCCAACCAGGGCTATGAAAACAGAGATGAATGGAACAGGGGCCTAGAAACATGGGAGGCGTTATCAAAAACACCAGCGAAATATTCTCGGTGATCAACAGAGAGAGAGAAAATAAATAGTAGTACATCCATACAATGAAATACTATCCAGCCACTAAGAAACACTGCAGAAGCCGGGTGTGGCGGTGCACACCTGTGGTCCCAGCTACTCGGGAGGCTGAGGCGGGACGATTGCTTGAGCCCAGGAGTTCAAGGCTGCAGTGAGCTATGATCACACATTTGCAGCCCAGCCTAGGCAACAAAGTGAGACCTATCTTTAAAAAATAAAAAATTGCAGATGGATATTTTGTGGCTTGGAGGGATGTTCACACTCTATTAAATGGAAAAAATACGTGGTGGCCCAAGCCTGTAGTCCCAGCTACTCGGGAGGCTGAGGGAGAAGAATCACTTGAACCAGGGAGGCGGAGGTTGCAGTGAGCTGAGATCGCGCCACTGCACTCCAGCCTGGCGACAGAGCGAGATTCTGTCTCAAAAAAAAATAATAATAAAAATAAAAATAAGGAAAATATATATATACTCACCATGCAAAAAATAAAAATAAAAAATAAGGTCTATAAGGATAAACACTAGAGAACTGACAAGTTATCTCTGGGTGTTGTAATTTTTATTTCTTTCTTTTAGCTTTACCTATATTTCTGATTTTCTATGATAATTTGAAATGCAACTTGAAAAGAAAAGGTTAACTTTAATTTTAAAATGTAAAAAAAAAACTATACTATGAACATAGAGAAATAACAATGAGTAAAATCTGGAAGGAGGCCTGAAAGATGTGGACAAATTCCAAAAAGTAAGGTCCTAAGCTTTAAAGAACTCCCCAACTTTTCAGCAAACATGTCTCTGCAGAGGAAGCACTGTGTGGCGGATAAATACAAACGCTATTTGAATCTGGATTCGAGGCCTATGCTAAGGCACTTAAGAACCATAAAGCTACTTGCCAACACCTTTCCAAATCAGATCCAAAAGCCAGAGCCAGGAATCCTAAGGAACCTGTGCAAGGCGGCCGCACAAGCAGTAAGTGTGCATGTGTGAGTGTGTACTGCAAACACACACCCCCCCACACACACAACATACCACACACACCAACACACCACACAGACACTGCACACACATACCCACACATCCCACACACAAACCAACACACACACCAACACACCACACACCACACACACCACCACACCGCACTCACCACACACACCACCACACCGCACACAGACACCACACACATACCCACACCCCACACACACCAACACATACCAACACACCACACACAACATACACCAACACCACCCCACAGACACCACACACATTCCCACACACCCCACACACACAACACACCAACACCACACCACAGACACCGCACACACATACCCCCACACCCCACAAACACACCAACACACACCAATACACCACACAATCACACACCAACACCAGAAAATGCACACACATACCCACACACTCCCCATACGTACCACACACACCAACACCACACCATAGAAACACTGCAAACACACACACACCCACACACACCAACACAGACACCGCACACACACACCACACACCAAACACACCGCAAACACACACACACCCCACACATACAACACACACACCCCACATATAACACACCAACACACACCACACACATAACCACCCACACACCACACACACCAACACACACCACACACCAACACACACAATACACAGACACTGCAAACACATTCCACGCACCCACACCACACACACACTACATACAGACAGCACAAACGCACACCCCACACCCGCACTGCACACACACCAACACATACCATACACTACACACACCACACACCAACACACACCACACACAGACATCCACCCCCACACACTACACACACTACATACCCTACACGCCAACACACACATCAACAGACCCCACACACATCCCACACACCAAACACCAACACACACAGCAAACACACCAACACATGCACACCACACACACCATACACACACACCACACATACATATACACAGACCACACCACACATACACACAACACACACAACACATACATACCCACACCACACACCCCACCACACAAACATACCACACACACCACACCCCACACACATCCCACACACCAACACACATCACACACAACAACACACACACTGGGGAAGCAAAGCCGAAGATAGGTAACATAACATAAAATGTGCAGGTCAGAAACTAAACAAGAGTCAAGACAGAGCCCTCCTCAGTCTAACTTAATGTTGTAATTTTGTTTCAACTCCAGCCAAATCAACCGTTTATAGAGTTCAAAGTATTGTCCCTTTCCCCCATCCCAAAATTACCCTATGCAAACAGTCCCACCTTAGTCAAGTATGGTGGTGATGCTGAGGGGTGATAGCTTAAAATGGAATGTAACCTATAGTCCAAGAATTTCACAAAATGGAGAATATACCCTCCATTCCCAGAACAAGAATACTTAAAATCATCACCCCAGCTCCTCATAACTCAGAGTAACTAACCGTCTCCTAGGCACATGCATACCTCTGGGGTGTACCAGGCAGTCTTAGATTTGGTATTCAGAAGATTATGGTCCTGTGACTTTAAACAGAGCAGGGCCAAGAAGGTAGACGTAGTGTAAGAACACCTAAAAAAAACTACCTTGACTGGGCTCAGTGGTTCACACCTGTAATCCCAGCACTTTGGGAGGCCATGGCAGATGAGTTGCTAGAGCTTGGGAGTTCAAGACCAACCTGAGCAACATGGCAAAACCCTGTCTCTACAAAAAATACAAAAATTAGCCAGGCATGGTGCTGCATGCCTTGTAGTCCCAGCTACTTGGGAGGCTGAGGCAGGAGGACAGTTTGAGCCCAGGATGTGGAGGTTGCAATGAGCTGAGATCGCGCCACTGCACTCCAGTCTGGGTGACAGGGAGAGATCCTGTCTCAAAGAAAAGAAAAGAAAAAAGAAAAGAAAAGAAAAGAAAAAGAAAGAAAAAGAAAGGGGAAAAAAAATATTTCTTGTGCCAGAGCCGTTCTGTGGCAAACAGCACACCGCCTTCATCGCTTAGGCCAAGACTCACTTCTAAACCAGATTCAATCTAGATTAAACTCACAACCCCAGAATACCTAATAGCTGAATTCAGACCTTAAATCCAGATTTCCTCCAGTTTTTCAAATATGTCGAATCTCATAACACTAGGCTCACATTCCCACATGGCAAGAATCACCTGAAGTTAAGTGATGGCTGCTCTTTCAGCAAACACTCTAGTTCACCACCACAGTCTCCACTACTCCCTACCGCCTGTCATTGAGACCAAGTCAACTGCAGTTGATGCTTACGGTTTTCATAACAAACAGAGATTTCTCCATAACCATGACTTTATGAAAAGGAGGAAAATAAATAACAGAAAAGGTCTTTTTAGCCTTACAGATATCCTATTTCCTGGCCCTTGTGAGCATTTAAGTTTGTGACCCTTGACCCAGATAAAAGAAGAAAAAGTCTTTTTTTGTTTTGTTGTTTTTTTAAACAGACACAAGGTTTTGCCATGTTGCTAAGGCTGGTCTCAAACTCCTGAGCTCAAGCAATGCACCTGCCTTGGCCTCCCAAAGTGCTGGGACTACAGGCCTGAGCCACTGCACCCGGCCGTAAAGGTCTTAACAAACTAACTTTACAGAGAGTGATTTGGCAAGCTCTGGTGCAAGCTGAAGAAACCAATTCCCACGTCATCTTCAGTCTAGAAGGAATGCTCCAAGGAGGTCACTTTCCCAAACACTCCTCCACTTACTGTACACAGTAAAGATAAAGAATCATGGAATTTCTAGACACTGACATAGTTAAGATCTCCAAGATCATCTGATCTTGCACTTCCCAAGTCAGATTCCTAAAGATAATGTTGAAAGTCAGAACTGTTTTCAATATTTTTTAAACAATAACAGCTTATTGAGACATAATTTACACACCATCAAAGTGACCCTTTAAAAGTGTTCAGTGGTTTTCAGTATATTCAGAGTTATGTAACCATCGCCACCCTAATTTTAGAACATTTTCATCACAGCCTCAAAAAAAAAACAACCCATTAGCAGTGACTATCCATTTTCCCTTTCCCCAGCCCTTGGCAGCCACTGCTCTGCTTTCTGTGTCTATGAGTTTGCTACTCTAGGCCTTTCGCATCAACAGATCACATACGTGGTCTTTTGTGTCTGGCTTCTTTCACCTAGTGCAGCGTTTCCAAGGTTCTTCCATGTTGCAGCATGCATCAGTACTTCATTGCAAAAGTTGTTTTCAATATTTTTTATTTCTGGGAAGATAGCTTCAGGTAGATCAATGTTTTTAAAAGTATTTACTTGCTCATGATAAAGCCATGATGGTCATCCTTCAAATAAATGCAATTTTCCTAACATTTTATTAAGAAAATTATCAAACATACAGGGAAAGTTGAAAGAACTGTACAATGAATACTCAAGTACCCACCACCTGAATTCTTACAATTATAACTACTAAGCCATTTCTCCATCCATTAATCCATCTTATTTTGTTATGTGTTTTGTTTTGTTTTTTTTTTTTGAGACAGAGTCTCGCTCTGTTGCCCAGGATGGAGGGCAGTGGTGGGATCTTGGCTCACTGTAACCTCTGCCTCTCGGTTTCAAGAGAGTCTCCTGCCTCAGCCTCCCGAGTAGCTGGGATTACAGGCATGTGCCACCACACCAGCTAATTTTTTTGTATTTTCGGTAGAGACAGGGTTTCGCCATGTTGGCCAGGCTGGTCTCGAACTCCTGACCTCAAATGATCTGCCTGCCTCGGCCTCGCAAAGTGTTGGGATTACAGGCGTGAGTCACCACACCCGGCTGGGTAAGGCTTATTTCATTCAACATAATGTTTCTGAGATTCATCCATGTTGTGGCATATACTGGTAATTTGTTTCTTTTTAAATTACTGAATGCGCTTTGTTCCTAAGGTAATATCTTTCAAAAAAGAAAGCCATGGAAGAAGAGTAAGGTTGGTAACCATGACTCCAGTCTAACCCTCTCTCTCTTGCATCCTCCACCCTCATGGGCACCAAGACTTAAGGAGCTAAGGGGCAGATGCTAACCAGTCGCACCACTGTCTTGTGGCTTCCAATCCCATCATCTTTCCACATACCTCACAGCCATTTCCTTCTTCTCATCCTGTAAGGAAGTTCCTAGCTGATTCTATAAGAGCCTTATTACAGGAAATGGGAAGTCAATACCCGAATAACAAAGGTACTAGGTGTCTCCTCAAAAACATGTCAAGAAAACAAAATGTGGTACATCCAAAAAACTGAAGACTATTCAGCATTAAAATGCACTAAACACCTGATGTGTGCTACAACATGGATGTACTCTGGGGATCTTACTGAGGTGATGGAATGTCCCAGCACTGGGCTGTGACAATGACTGCACAACTAAAAAAAAAAATCACTGAACCTTACACTTACAATGGGTCCATTTTATGCTATGTAAATTACACTTACAGAAAGTTGTGTTAAAAAGAAAAAAGCCTGACTACAAACGGATGAAAGAGTTTTCTGCTTCAAGGCAGAGAAAGATCTGCTTGATAATTTAAAGACAAAAGAGGCAATTTAAAAGACCCTGCTACTCAACTAGAAAACAGTTGTTTAAAACACCAAGCTAGGATAATTATATACTGTTTTAAGAATGCATTGAAAGCGTTTCCTTTTAATAAATAAAAGGAATTTATTGATTCACTTTCTTTAAAAAGCTCAGTATCAAGCTATCTGGGCAGGTCCCAACTGCCAGTCTTAAAATGAGGCAGCCCATTGTGAACGGGCTGGTTACCATGTGACCATGTAACCATATGAAGAGGTTCTTCAGGCTGTTCTATTTGTTTGTTTGCTTGTTTGAGACAGGGTCTTGCTCTGTCATCCAGGCTGGAGTGCAGTGGTATGATTATAGCTCTGCTGCCTCCACTTCCTGGGCTCAAGGGATCCTTTTGCCCCAGCCTCCCCAGCAGCTGGGATTACAGACAGGCACCACCACACCCAGCTAATTTTTTTTTTTTTTTTTTTTTTTGTAGAGATGGGGGTCTCACTACATTGACCAGGCTGGTCTCAAACTCCTGGGCTCAGGCAGTCCTCCCGCCTCAACCTCCCATAGTGCTGAGGTTACACACATGAGCCACTGCACCCAGCCTCTTCAGGCTGTTCTTTAAAAAGCTAGAATACTGGGTGAATATCCGAAAACTAGGCTAATTCCCCTGCTTTCTACATAAGAAGCTGTTTTTTTGTTTTGGTGACCGAATTTGCCTCATGGGAGCAGAGCAAACACGGCTGCCCTCCTTCCCCACCGACAGGCCTAGAAGGAAGGAATAGTAACCAGCTTTCAAAGTGGATCACCTACTTGCAGAATATTCCTCAACAGAGAAGCTGCTTTCCTTCTCCAAAGCCTGAAAACTGCCCCAGGCGGCTGCTTCTACCCACAGCCACCTCTTTGTAGGAGCTGTTCCATCTTCTTGTAGGAGCTTTTTCTGACTCCTCAGCCTTTCCTCCTCACCACTGGGATTCTTCATGCTTACTTCCGAGACTTAAAGGCGGATGACATGGAATCCTCTTCCTAGAATTCTTTCTCCAGATGCTGGAGCCCCTTCTGGAGCTACCAAAATCACCCCTTCTCTACTGCCTCCTTCTAGAAGATTTTTCTGATGGTGCAGTCAGCTCCCAAATACATCAACAATGCTGGGCTTGGAGAGGTCTCTAGGGTATTCAAAGCAGACAGTATTTCTCCAGCACCACCAGACTCAGCTGAGCAGAAACAGCCCGCAGGAGATGCATATTCCACGCCACTCAGAACGCAAGCTCCAAACTCCAAAGCCTCCCCTGGAGAGGGACAGCAGAGGGGGAGGGGCAGGGGAGCAAGAAGAAACCTAGGGCACCTGGGTAGGGCAAAGTAGGCGGCTGTGATGTCCACCACACTGACAGCCCTCAGCCCTTCTCAGGGAAGCTGCCCGCCCACGGCTCTGGCTGTCAGGGCAGCCCCCAGGCAGCCGAGCTTTGTGCACTGTGGTGTCCTCAGCGTGACATACCCCAGCTTCACAGCTGACCGCTCCTTGCCCAGCCTTCTTCATTTCAGTAATGGCCCCAGCTGCTCAGGCCAAACCTCAGAGTCACTGTTGATTCCTTTCTTCCTTTCATCTGCCAGGTCCAATTCACCAGCAAGTCCAAAAACCACCCTGAATACAGCTCCTCACCACCTCGCTGCTACCGTCCTAGTCTGAGGCTGGAGCTCCACAACCGCCCAACTGGTAGCCTCGCTCCTGCTCTCACCCTCCCTAGACCCGTCTCCTGTAGACTGGCCCCAGCCGCCCTGTGGAGATAAACCAGTACTCCCCAGTGCCACCAAAACCATCTCCTAACTTCCTACCCTGGCCCACAAGGCCCCTTGCCTCTTCTATCTTACCTCCTGCCACTCACTCCTGCCCTCTACATTCTGACCAAGCTAGCCTTCTTTCTAACCTTGCAATGCGCCAAGCTCACTCCAGCGAAGGCCTCTGCCTGGGCCTCTTCCCGCACCTGGAACGACCATCGTGCCTGGCTCCTACTTGACACTTAGGTTTCAGAGTTCACCCAGAAAGGTCACCTCCCCCAGAGGACTTCTCTACCCAGCCTAAAGTAGCCACCCACCCTCCCCAGCCCCAGTACTCTCTAGCCTTCATCTTCTTTCTATTCTTGCCTGCACTCACAATATAAGACCTGATGTGCTGACAATCCCCCCACTAGCATGGAAGTCCCATGAGGGGAGAGGACTAACCCGCCTTGCTTACCACTGTATCCCCAAGGGCTAGAACCGTGCCTGCACACAACAGGGTGTGCCTGATTAATACTTCTGGAGGGAAAAAGCATTTGTGCTGGGGCGGCCAAACCCAGATCATAGCCAGCCTCATGCTCTGGGGCCCGGCCAGCCAGGCTCCCTCTCAATTAGCCCTCATGGGGCTAATTCAATTAGACAACCGCCAAGAGTGTTGATGGTCCCAGGAAGCTCATAGCAAGGTCCATATGTGAGACACAGGCCCTGGCAGGCTCAAGCTGGGCGGATCCAGAAGCTCCCAGGGGCAGAGCTTTGTACCAGAAAAGAAACAGGGTGGTGGGTGACAGCCGGCGGCAGCACAAGAAGCAGGGCTGCAAAGACGGCAGGGCTGGCCTGTGAGAGTCAGTCTCTTCAAGGCGTCTGGCCGGACAGTGAAGAAGAGCATCTCCCCCGCGGGGGACCTAGCACTGCCTGGAACCCAGGACCAGTCTCCACTGAAATCGGCCAGTCCTCGAAGTCCTGGAATTAGCATGAGGTGACCAGCACCCCATTCCACAGGCCAGCACGAGGGTCCCTGATCCACGCGGCTAGAGAACTCTGCCAAAAACACACACCCTGTGGCCTGAATTCTAATCACAGACAACAGAACTCCAACAAAATACAGAAAGTAATCACCTAAGACACTGGCTATCTGGACTGCACATTTTCTACCCAAGAAGTAATTTGATTCTAGGGAATGAGAGCTCAGGCTCTCATCAGCCATCACATAAATCCTTTAAAAAAAGGAAAATTAACTTTCTACAACACTTCTATTATAGAAATTATACCAGGGAACAAGGATCCACTTTACAGACCTTTCCTTTTATAACCAGGGCCCTCCTATCACTAGATCCCCTCGCTGGTGCCGAGGACCCACGGCATAGCTCAATCTTAAGCCCGGGGTGGGCTCCTCTGCTCTCCTGTGGTGGGAGAAGAGTGAAGATGAGTTTCCTGTTGTCACTGTAACAAATTACCGCAAACTTAGTGGCTTAGAACAACAGACTTTATGATTTTACAGTTCTAGAGGTCAGAGGTCTGATTTGGGTCTCACAAGATTCAGCAGGGCTGCGTTCTTCCCAGAAGCTCTGGGGGAGAACCCGTCCCCTCGCCTTTTCCAGCTCTGAGGGGCCCATATTCCCAATCCCGTGGCTTTCCTCCATCTTCAAAGCTGCCAACAGCAGCTGACATCCTTCCTCTGCTGCTCACTCTCTGGTTCTCTCTTTGATTCCCTCTTAATTTTAAGGACCCCTGTGATTACACCAGGCTCACTCAGATAATCCAGATAATCTCCCTATGTTAAGGTCAGTAGACCAGCAACCTTGATTCCATCTGTAACCTTAATTCGCCTTTGCCATATGACCTAGCACAGTCACAGGTTCTGTGGATGAGGATGTGCACATCTTCGGGGGGCCATTAATCTGCCCACCACACCTGTCCAAGCAAGCCACGATACGAACACCATCCAGCAAAAGCACTTATCTTGTTGTCCCACTCCACGCCAATGTCCCCTAAAGCACCATTCCACAAAGGTTGTGTTTGTCTCTGCAGAGCTCAAGATAAACACAATTCACTTAACTTGTTAGCTTGCAAGTGAGAAAAGAAAAACAAACAAACAAAAAAACAGCCTGACCAACATGATGAAACCCCATCTCTACCAAAAATACAAAAATTAGCCGGGCATGGTGGCATGTGCCTGTAATCCCAGCTACTCAGGAGGCTGAGGCAGGAGAATCACTTGAACCCAGGAGGCGGAGGTTGCAGTGAGCCCAGATCGCGCCATTGCACTCCAGCCTGGGCGACAGAGCGAGACTCCATCTCAAAAAAAAAAAAAAAATTCACTACAGATTATAAAGTTGGCTTCCAGGTCCCTGAGTGTCCCTTTCAATCCATCAGATGATTCTTAATCTCCTAGGATGTGCCGAAGCTGTTAGGCTTAGCGCGGAAGTCAAAGGTGAAGACAGCAGGGATTCTGGTAAGCCGGGATCACATAATGACACAGGCCGAATGACATCAGGGTGCCTTCCAGGGGGATGCGATGTTCATGCACTCTGGGAAGCACAGGGTTTCGCCAGCAGGGAGGGCAGCCACAGAGAGACATGGAGTGGACCGAGGCATCCACCTTCCCCATCTGGGTTTCCCGCTCTGGAGAGGAACTGGCATTTGCACTCTCCTCTAACAGAAGCCGGGCTTTTGTGGGCAGATAAGGTAGGTCACTTTTCTCCTCAAGACACTTTTCCGTGGACAAGTTGTGTAACCTCTCGGTAACACAGCTAATTAACGTCTGAGCTTTGGTTTTTTATTTTTTATTTACTTATTTATTTTTTAAAATGAGGATTCCACCACCACCTACCTGACAGGGTTGTTGTGTGAGTTGCTTAAGATCACGTTAAGAGGCCGGGCACAGTGGCTCACGCCTGTAACCTCAGCACTTTGGGAGGCCGAGACTGGCCGATCACTTGAGGTCAGGAGTTTGAGACCAGCCTGGCCAACATGGCAAAATCCTGTCTCTACTAAAGATACAAAAACTTAGCTGGGCATGGTGATGCATACCTGTAATCCCAGCTACTTGGAAAGCTGAGGCAGGAGAATCGCTTGAACCTGGGAGGCAGAGGTTGCAGTGAGCCAAGATCACGCCACTGCACTCCAGCCTGGGTGACAAGAGCGAAACTCCGTCTCAAACAAACAAAAAAAAAGGTCATGGAAGGAGAATGTGGAACATAATAAATGTTCAGTCTGTGTGAATTCTCTTTTCTTCTTCCACCCGGAAAATAACCTCCCTCCATCCTCTCCTCTAACCTCGTCACCTGGACTCTTTCCCCAGGTCTTCCTCCCCTTCCTCTCCTTCCTCCCCTTCCAGCATGTGGGCAATGAACCAACCAGCGTCTACAAGCAATGGAAGTTTGGTCCCACACCGCTAAAGCGGGGAGCACTGGGGCTTCCTGTTGGGTAATGTAATTGGTAATCTTTGAGAGTTAACAGCGAAAGGGGAGATACACATTGAAGCCTGATGTCAGGAAAACCATCCGCACTGCTCCTGGTCATGTCAACACACACACACACACACACACACACACACACACACACACACACACACAATCTGGCTGAGATATCCTTCCCGGTAGTGTCACAAGAGGTCACAGTTATCACAGCCCTTACTAACTGTTCTATAACTATCTGTCCCCACGCCTAGCCTGTGAGCCCCTTGAGGAGAGAGACTGTGTTTTTTCATCTCTGCAGCCCCGGCTCCCACCTCAGTGCACACCCTGCAACGGCGCACCATCTAATGGTTAAAGACTGAAGAACGCAGGAGAAGAAACACTGCTTATCTTCCGTATGACTGCAAAAGAGAAAAACCAATTTAGTATTTGCATGAAAGGTTTCCATTTACAACTGGTTAACTGTGCTTAGCATTAGACAGTACCTCTACTGAAAATTCAAAGTTTGGAGGACACAGTGCTCTAACCTTTAGCCCTTGCTACTCCTTAAGTCTGGCACAGATTCCCGCTTTGATCAAGAATGAAGGGTTAGCCGGGCCCGGTGGCTCACGCCTGTAATCCCAGCATTTTGGGAGGCTGAGGCAGGCAGATCACCTGAGGTTGGGAGTTCGAGACCAGCCTGACCAACATGGAGAAACCCCATCTCTACTAAAAATACAAAATTAGTCGGGCATGGTGGTGCATGCCTGTAATCCTTGCTACTTGGGAGGCTGAGGCAGGAGAATCACTTGAACTCAGGAGGCAGAGGTTGCAGTGAGCCGAGATCGCACCATTGCACTCCAGACTGGGCAACATGAGCGAAACTCCGTCTCAAAAAAAAAAAAGAATGAAGGGTTACTATACAAAGCATTCGTGGAGGGGGCCACTTTTTAGAAACTTACATCCCAAGGCTATCTTACAAGCCCTAATTTAAGTCTCTCCAAACACCCACTTCTTAAACAGAAACCTATTTTCCAGAAACTGCTTATCTCTAAATACAGAAAAAGACTATCTCTTCCCCCCACCACCGGAAATATTCATACCAACGCTCCCTGAAATAAGGAGTTTCTAAAAAGGCAAAGAAATGGAACCAAAACCAACCACAAAAAGGTACACACTAGAAGTGTTCAGAATCTGTAGGTGGGGGCTGGGCACAATAGCTCACTCCTAGAATCTCATCATTTTGGAAGGCTGAGGTGGAAGGACTGCTTAAGGCCAGGAGTTCAAGACCATCCTGAGAAGCATAGCAACACCCCATATCTACAAAAAATAAAAAATTAGCCAGGCATAGTAGTGCGTGCCCGCAGTCCCAGCTACTCAAGAGGCTGAGACAAGAGGACTGCTTGAGCCTGGGAGGTCAAGGCTGCAGTGAGCTGTGATCACATCACTATCCTCCAGACTGGGAAACAGAGCGAGATCCTATCTCAAAAAAAGGAAATTCTGTGTGAAGGATATACATGTGTGACATTCCTTACAGTGTCAAGAGGGCAAGAACCATGAACTATGTTCTACAGTACATAGCTCCATTGTAGAGCCTCAGAAAGCACCCGGCCAAATCAAGAATGCTTCTATTTAGTATTTGTCAAGCAGGCATTTGAAAGCTCAGCTAAGACCCTGGTTAGATACACTATTTCCTTCAGTTCATAGATAAGACACGGGCTCCTCATAAATGTCAGATGAATGCAGATGCAGAACTAAAATTCTGCCATAACCCACTTGCTATGCGGAGCCCGTTAAACCCTCCTCTTGTGTGTTACTTGCCAGGCACTAGCCCCATTCCCAGCTCCATTCCCAGAGGTTATCTCTGCTGATCCTCACTTCCACCTTGCAGGGAAATTTTATCTTTCCCATTGAATAGCATTCTTAGACTTCAGATAAGTCTAAGGAAAAATAAGGATTTTTTCCATCATTAACACCTGGTTTGCCTCGGGGAAAGGCAACCCCTTCTCTCCAAAATGTCCCAATAATTGAGCACATGTTTCTGGACCAAATCAAGACCCTTCGCCACAGGGCTTCTCAGCAAAACTGAGTGAGAAGGACAAGGAATCCCATCTGCACGGTTCCCTACCCAGCAGGCCCTGGGCACACTCATATCCAAGTCCTCAAACACCCTGTTCCACACCCAAAGTCAGCCCCGGGCAAAGACCCTTCAGGAGGTGAAGCCCTGCCAGTTCAGGAATGGATCACAGTCAGAATCCCTAGGCCACTTCTCAGGACTCGGTAAAAAATAACCACAACTTCCCCTGCACTTAGTTCCTCCCCAGAGAGCTGTTGAACCTCATCTGGAAACAGCTGGGAGGCAGCAGCTAACAGGAAATCAAACAACAACAACAAAAAGCAGAGTGTACCACGGAGAGTTAGACAGCTAGAACGAAGAGGCCAGAGGACAGACAGGAAGTTGAAGTTAGAAAGAACCTAGGCCAGAAACAGTCACACAGAAGAGGAGACCCAGCTGGCCTTTCTCAGCTCGGGCAGGAGGGGAGGACCCAGACAGCCGGCAGGGAAGGCATGAACCCCACCAGGATGGAAGCCAGACAGGCTCTGAGGTTAAGTCTTCTTTCTGCCCTGCCCCCAATCCCTTTTTTTCTTTCTTTCTTTTTCTTTTTTAGAGATGGGGATCTTGCTACATTGCCCAGGCTGATCTTGAACTCCTGGGCTCAAGCAATCCCCCACCTCGGCCTCCCAAAGTGCTGGGACTACAGGCATGAGCCACCACGCCCCGCGTTGCCTCCGATCTCAACCTTCCTTCCCTGAAAGCCAGGTAGCAGTTCTCACTAGGAGAGCTGGGGTCAGAAACTCACCTTCCTCTAGTTTCTTTCTGTGCCACAGACTACAGCCCAGACAACTGGTTTTGAGTCATTTGTCTGTCATCCATACCAAAGTTCTACACTGCCAACTAAACTCAGCACTGGACAAACCAGCCTCACACAGACAGACAAAGGGCATCTTCATGAGAAATGACTGGACAGATCCCATCCGAGGGCCTGTGGTGGTAGACCTTAGGTGGCCGACCTTAGGCAGCAGGAGACCTTAGGCACAGGGAAAAGCAGCGAAAGTGAGAGAGCCAAGAGAGCAAGATAAGCTTCTTGCACCAAACTGATGGTGCATTTTGCAATCAAGAAAGTTAACTGAGCAACGGCCAGCTGCCAAAATATTTTTGAGAGAAATGAAAAAAAAAATGCCATTACTAAAATTATTTGGTGTTGTTTAATAAGCCTTTAGGTTATCCAAACAAGAGTGCAAAGGGGAGACTGATTTAGTTTTCATTTAGCAGAGCTTACTTAGGTGAGACCTTTCCAGTCCATGCCCCCCGTGACTCATCCATTCTCTCCCTGTATATGTAGAAGTTTATATTAAAATAAAGAAGAGGATTAAGTTTTCTTAATAAGATACATTCCAGTCTTTCACCTCGAGCTTTGTTTGAAAAGGCTCTCTCGAGGCATAGCATATGCTGCGATCCAGTCGGGTTTGATTCCAATGGAACTGCTCAAAATCAGAGACTGGAGGGCGCACAGGGCTGCAGCCTCAACACCATTTGTTTTTTAAAAAGCAGAACATCTTTACAGGCTCAGTGCCAGCTCAAACTGGCAAGACCAGAGAATCAGCAGAGACTGACCAATGTGCCGGGTAAGGGGGATGGGAGGAGGAGCTACGGGAACAGATCATCAGGGAAACCTTCAAGAGAGGAAATAGGGGTGTTTCAGGAACATAACAAAGAACAAGTTGACTAATCGTTTATTCCAGGGACCGCGGCGGTGAGGGGGGTGCCATCCAGGGCTAAGTATCTAATATTTTAACTTCAGGTAAAAGCATAACATTTAAACCTGGATATGCTTGGGGCTCACAGCTCTCTTAAAAAGGTGAGGTGAGAGGGGGCAAGATATTCCTGCTCTTTTATTACGCTGTTTATGGAGTCTCCTAGGAAACTTCTCCCGCGATGCCTCCAGAGCAGACCTAAGACAGCCCCCGCTAGTCCAGTTCCTAATGCAATAAGCTTAACTCAGCAGAGATCCCATCATGAGCTTTCTGCAGGGCCAAGCTGCTCAAGGCCGCTGCTGCCAGTCCAAAGAAGTTCTGTTGCGCAGACAAAAAAGTTACCTGCAGCAAATACCTAATATTCATAGTGGGAAAGGGAGAGAGAGTGAAAAAGCGCTTTAATCTTTGAGGGCCAGGCATTTTCTGTGACTTGGAAAAGAGGAATCTCTGCCCAGAGCCGAATCCACATGTCAGAACGGTGTCTGGGATGTCTGCCCTCAACAATGACATCTCCCTCATATAATGTTTCAGGACCGGCCAGAAAACCCTCCAACTTGCCAGAAGGACAGACTGCACCTCCAACAGCTGTGGCACCAAAAGTCTTCTTAGGAGGCACCCAAAGCCCTCCCGAGATGGGGGCGGGCCTCCCGATGAGGTTGTAAGGGGGCCAGCCTCCAGGTGCAGGGACACCTAACTCTGGCCAAGCACTGGAATAAGCAATTTACCTATCTCACTCCATCCCCACAACAGCCCCTTGGAGGCAGACACTACAGTCATTCCCCTTTTATAAAGGAGGAAACAGGCTCCGAGGTGTTACACAACCATTAAACAGCAGAGCCAGCCTCCAGTCACCCCGAACAGGTGGTCCTGACCGCTGCTGGATATGGGGGAAACACACAAAGCGTTTGGAGGAAGGAGTCGATAGAGTCGGGTAACACAAGATGCAGCCAGTGTTTATACCTCTTCCTCGTCCAACATCGGTGGTCCCAGGACACTGGAGGGGAGGGCCTGGATGGGGAACGTGAACCCGAAAGGACCCCGGCACTGCTGGCAGGGGAAGAGGCCAGGACCCCGGCTCCTCTGGCAACGCGGGGAACCCCAGATCCATAAACCCTCCCGAAGGAGGAAGACCCAAAGGGAATGCATGAAGCCACGGGGTTGCCAGGCGGCCCTTCCCTCCACGCTTGTTTTGTCAAACAAGGGCCTCCGGCCGGGGCCTCAGGGGGTCGCGGGGGTCCCTACCTGTAGGCCAAAGTCATGCACTCGAAGAGCTTGGTGAGCGAGGCGTCGATGGACAGGTGGCAGGAGCTAGTCTTGCCGAAGCTGTAGGTCTGGCACGTCTGTTTGTTGACCGTGTCGAAATCGTAGCCCTTCTTGGGCGGGTGCTCTCGGTGCGGCGACGACACCATGAAGTGGCCGCTGTGGATGATCTGCTGGCGGCGCGGAGGTTCCTCGCGGCCCGGCCCGGCCCGAGGCGGCGGTGGCGCGGCGCTCGCGTGGGCCCGGGCCGGGGTGGCCGCGCCGGAGGCGGGCGGCGGGGACGGCTCATCCGTGTCCGAGTCGTCGTCGTCCTCGGACACCTGGGGCTTGAGCAGCACCTGGCGGCCCCGGCTGCGAGGCCGGCGCGGGGAGCACATGAAGACGTCGGCGGCCATGAGAAGGGCTCGGCCGGGGGCATCCCCCGGAGCCCGGGGCAACGCGACAAGCGCGCGAGGCAGAGGGGCGCCGGCCCGGCCCGGCCCGCGCGCCGACTGTCCGCGAGCGCGCGGCGCGGCGGGAGGGGGAGGGCTCCGGCCCCGGCGTGACGTCACCGAGGCGTCTGGGCCAATCGGCTGCCCGCGTCGGCCTCTTAAAGGCGCAGGGGAACCTTTCCTTAGCTAGGCGGACCAAAAAAAAAAAAAAAGGGGAAGCGGAGGCCACGCCTCCCGGCCGTGCCCCTCGCCACCTCCTCCTCTCCCGGCGTCCGTGGGTGCTGAGGGACACGGTGGCCGGGCGGAGCGGCTCGCCGGTGTCGCGACCTGGGAGAGGCGTCGGCAGAGTGGGGCCGTGCTAGTCCCGCCCCCGCCCCGCTCCGCGCCCCGGGAGTCGCCCTGTGGCTTCGCCGCAGGCCCGGCCGGCTCCACGTGGTGGGTGCGGGTGGGGCTCCTCGGCCTCCAGGCCCTGCTTTTTCCCTGCCGGGCGGTACCGAGTCCTCGCAGCTCACGCCTGAGTTTGCCGGACGTGGTGGCTATTGTCCTCATTATTCTCATCGTATTGATGGGAACACTGGGTGGCTGAATACCGACAGGATTTTTCTCAGACCTGGAGTCCACAGAGCTGGGAACTTGCTTCCCCTGCGCGTCCCCAGCTCGGCGCAGCTGTTGAGTGGCAGCGCCCCTGAGCCCAGCGACCTCCAGACCCCAGCTCTTTTAACTTCAACTCAGCATGCTGTTGTTATTTTTTTAAAGTTTGACGGACGAGCCAGCCCCCGAAACAATTCTAAAAGGGGAGTATCTGAGCCAGAGTTTTCTTCTCTGTCAAATGGTGAACAATTCCGTTTCCTCAGAAACTTGGGACAGTTTAAAAATGGCTATAGTGGGGCGCGGTGGCTCATGCCTGTAATCCTAGCACTTTTGGAGGCCGAGGCGGGTGGATCACTTGAGGCCAGAAGTTCAAGACCAGCCAGGCCAACACGGTGAAACCCTGTCTCTACTAAAAATAACAAAAATTAGCCGGTCGTAGTGGTGCACCCCTGTAATCCCAGCTACTCGGGAGGCTGAGGCAGGAGAATCGCTTGAATCCGGGAGGTGGAGGTTGCAGTGAGCCGAGATTGCGCCATTGCACTCTAGCCTGGGCGACAGAGCGAGGCCCTGTCTCAAAAAGAAAAATAAATACAAATAAAAATGGCTATAAGTTGCTTAGCAGGCAGGCTGGCACAAAATGAGCGCTAAATAAATGTGCCACAGGTTGGAGGATTTGGATCAACCAGACCAGAGGTGCCTAGAAATTGCCAATAGTCCACCACTATTTGACCTGCAGAAACGGCAACTTCGCGTGGCACAACCTAACTGACAGACACCTCTAGAAAGCTGTCAAGGTTTCCGGGGCTCAAAGCCAGTCTGGGGTGGGGGTGGCAGGGCATCAGAAGAGCCAGTGAGGCCCATGAGCCAGGAACACCCATCCTAATCCTAGCAGGGCGTCCAGAGTCCACAGCCACTCCTGCACTCTGCTTTGTTTTATTGTTGTTTTGTTTTTTGAGACAGAGTCTTGCTCTGTCACCCAAGGCTGTAGCGCAGTGGTGCAATCACCATGTTGGCCAGGCCGGTCTGGAACTCCTGACCTCAAGTGAGGCCTGCCTTGGACTCCCAAAGTGCTGGGATGACAGGCATGAGCCACCGCGCTGGCTCTGCACTCGGCTTTGAAGCTGGTTTCAGTTCCAGATTTGAGTGGGGGGTGAGTCCCCTGCCCCACCCTCTTCCTGACAAAGGCCTCCTGAAGGGAACAGAGGGCTCTCACCAAAATGGCTCCATTAACTTATTTCCAAATGTCTGTATGGAAAAATGGGCTGGATGACTGGCAGTTTTCAGGCATGAGTTCTAGATTTCCCTCTTCAACCTACTACTGTTCCCAATGCTGGTTACAAGTGTTTAAAAGTCCATCCTTTGAGTTGCCTTCCTTTCTCTCAAGACTTGTCTCCTTGGTCCTTGGTAAGTTTACATGCCCAGCCACTTTTTTTTTTTTTTTTTTTTGAGACAGGATCTGGCTCTTTCACCTGGACTGGAGTGGAGTGGTGCCATCATGGCTCACAGCACCCTCAACCTCCAGGGCTCAGGTGATCCTCCCACCTCAACTTCCCAAGTAGCAGGACCACAGGTGCACACCACCGTGCCCTGCTAATTTTTGTACTTTTTATAGAGATGGGGTCTCGCCATGCTGCCCAGCCTGGTCTCGTCTCGAGTTCCTGACCTCAAGTGATCCTCCTGCCTCAGCCTCCCAAGGTGCTAGAATTACAGGTGTGAGCCACCATGCCCTGCTTTTTTGTCTTTGTGTTTACCTATATTTTCTTTCTTTTTTTTTTTTTTTGAGACAGGGTCTCACTGTGTCACATTGGTGTGATCGTGGCTCACTGTAGCCTCAACCTCCCCTGCCCAAGCTATCCTCCCACCTCAGTCTCCCGAGTAGCTGTGACCACAGGTGGGCACCACCACACCCAGCTAATGTTTAATTTTTTTGTAGAGATGGAATTTCCCTATGTTGCCCAGGCTGGTCTCAAACTCCTGGGCTCAGGCAATCCTCCTGCCTCAACCTCCCAAAATGCTGGGATTACAGGCATGAGCCACCACACCTGGCCTGTATTTTCTAATTTCCAAAATAAACATGTATTACTTATATACACATTTTTAACTTAAAAAGTTAACATCAGTTTCCTGGGAGGAAATAAGCCTTAAAGCTGAGGTTGCAAAGTGGCAACCCATAGACCATATTCAGTGCAGAAACATGCCTTGTTTAATCCCACCGTCAATTCCTAAGAGACTGTATTAGGGAAGACTCTTGGGGAAAATTGCAGTTAAAAATGCAAAAAGCAAAGGACCACTGCATGGGTGGTCCAGTCACGGAAGGTGCTCCAAGCTCACAATCAATGTCTGTAAGGTTAAGGAGGTGGTCTCGACTTCCCCTCCTGCTGAGTAGCGGGCAGCATCGGCAGGAGAGTGGCCATGTAGGATGGCGACCCAGGGAGCTAAAAATCCCATGATGACAAGGAGCTCCCACACCCAGACAAGCCACCAAAACCAGAGCCTCACAGCGTTGTCGTCTCTTCTCCACGAATCAGAAGAAACACTGGATTGGAATCAAATCAGCAGTCAGACAAATAGAAATACCTAAGTATGAAGGGTTACACACCAGCACAAGTCAGCAAATAATTAAGGAAAGCCAGCACTCTGGGAGAAAGCGGGTACCTGAGAACTAGCAAGGGGGAGAAAGTTAACAAATATTTTAAAAATAACTAATAGTTTAGGAAAGAACAGAAGATTCTGTACCATGGAGCAATAATAGCCCATTATGAAAAAGAGGCAAATGAGGTCTTGGAAAATAAATATAAATATACAAATATACAAGTATGATTTTTTAAAAGTTGAGTTGAAACGAAAATATAGAAAAAAAGCAAAGTGAATAAAGCTGAAAAACACAGCAGTAAGCTAAAAGATTAAACTGAAGGTTTATATAAAAAGTAACCAGACATGGTGGCACATGCCTCTAGCCCCAGCTACTTGGGAGGTGACGCACGAGAATCGCTTGAACCCGGGAGGCAGAGTTTGCACCACTGCCCTCCAGCCTGGGCAACAGAGCAAGACTCTGTCTCCAAAAATACACAGGCCAGGCACGGTAGCTCATGCCTGTAATCCCAGCACTTTGGGAGGCTGAGGTGGGCAGATCACCTGAGGTCGGGAGTTTCAGACCAGCCTGGCCAACATGGTGAAACCCCGTCTCTACTAAAAATGCAAAATTAGCCAGGCATGGTGGCGCATGCCTGTAATCCCAGCTACTCAGGAAGCTGAGGCAGGAGAATCACTTGAACCCAAGAGGCAGAGGTTTTGGTGAGCCGAGATCACGCCATTGCACTCCAGCCTGGGCAACAAGAGCGAACTCCATCTCAAAATAAATAAACAAACTGAGGGTTTCTCCCAGAAAACTGCCAAAAGGAAAAGAGAAGTTGTGACATGGAGGATCCATCTAGATAGTTACAGAAAGAAAGAAGTAAACAAGAGAGGAAATAACCAAAGCAGCAATAAAAGAAAATTTCCCAGCGATACAAACACAGCCTTTATTTTTATTTTATGAACCTCCTCTCAGTTCAAGCAATTCTCCTGCCTCATCCTCCAGAGTAGCTGGGATTACAGGGGCCCGCCACCATGCCCAGCTAAATTTTGTATTTTTAGTAAAGACAGGGTTTCACTATGTTCACCAGGCTGCTCTGGAACTCCTGAACTTAAATTGTCTGCTTACCTTGGCCTCCCAAAGTGCCGGGATTACAGACACAAGCCACTGTGCCCAGCCAAGAGCTGCATTAACTGGAGTGAGATGATGATATGGTTTAACTGGGGTGAGATGATGATATGATTTGGGTGTCCCCACCCAAATCTCATCTTGAATTCCCATGTGTTGTGGGAGGGACCCGGTGGAGGTAATTGAATCATGGGGGGCAGGCCTTTCCTGTGCTGTTCTAGTGATAGTGAATAAGTCTCATGAGATCTGATGATTTTTAAAAAGGGGAGTTTCCCTGCACAAGCTCTCTTCTCTTGTCTGCGGCCATGTGAGATGTGTCTTTCACCTTCCACCATGATTGTGAGGCCTCCCCAGCCACATGGAACTGTGAGTCCCTTAAACCTCTTTCTTTTGTAAGTTGCTCAGTCTCGGGTATGCCTTTATCAGTAGTGTGAAAATGGACTAATACAGATGATTTCTCATTTAGTGTGTTGTTGTTTTGTTTGTTTGTTTTGAGACAGGGTCTTACTGTGTTGCCCAGGCTGGAGTGCAGTAATACAATCAAGGCTTACTGCATCCTTTACCTCCTGGACTCAAGTGATCCTCCCACTTCAGCCTCCAGAGTAGCTTGGACTACAGGTATGTGCCATTACACCTGGCCAATTTATTAATTTTTTGTAGAGACTGGGTCTCCCCATGTTGCCCAGGCTGGTCTTGAACTCCTGGGCTTAAGTGATCCTCCCACCTCACCCTCCCAGAGTGCTGGGATTACAGGTGTGAGCCGTCACACCTGGCCTCGTTGTAGTTTTGATTTGCATTACTCTGATGATCAGTGATGTTGAGCATCTTTTCATATACCTGTTTGCCATTTGTATGTCTTCTTTTGATAAATGTCTATTCAGTTCTTTTGCCCATTTTAAATCAGATGATTAGATTTTTTTTCCTGTAGAGTTGTTTGAGCTCCTTATATTGTCACCTCAATAAATTTTAGAGGATAGAAGGTAAAATAGTCTTTTCATCCATTGGCCACATTAGAAAGAATTACTACTAGAGGTTGTTCTCTCCAAGAAGACAAAAATGAAATTCAAGTACGAGAACGATATGGAACACAAGAAACAGTGTAGCACAAAAAATAAAACTTAAAACTGGGTTTTTAAAGTTATGATTAAAAAAAGAGTTTTCGCCAGGTCCAGTGGCTCACGCCTGTAATCCTAGCACTTTGGGAAGCCAAGGCAGGTGGATCACCTGAGGTCAGGAGTTTGACACCAGCCTGGCCAACATGGTGTAAACCCCGCCTCTACTAAAAATACAAAAATTAGCCAGGCGTGGTGGTGTGTACCTGTAATTCCAGCTACTCGGGGCACTGAGGCACGAGAATCGCTTGAACCTGGGAGACGGAGGTTGCAGTGAGCTGAGATCACGCCACTGCGCTCCAGCCTGGGTGACAGAGTAAGACTCCCTCTCAAAAAAAAAAAAATTATACCTCATTTCAGAAACATTTCTTAGAGGTCTTTCTTACTTTCTGTTACTTTTTTTTAAAATTTAGTGATAGCATCCTCTTCTTGTTTTATGTATGCAATATTGTCTCATCTCTCCCAGAAGAATATTTTGAGTTTATTTGAAGTTATCTTTTGCTCCCTGCATTGTTTATATTTCTTTTCTCTCTCTCTCTCTCTCTCTCTCTGTTTGTTTTGAACTCCCTCTTCATGTTGGAAGCTTTCCTCAGAAGTCTGGAAAGGAGCCCATGAGGATGACTGATAGGATCGGTGTGTACGGCAGGAGCATGGCCTGTCAGCGAGTAAGCCAGTGGGTGGCCAGGCAGCTCTTTGGTCAGAGGCTTCTAAATGTCAGTATCTGGAGGTCTTCTCTGTGGGTGGTTCTGATTGCCCGGGGGGACCTCCAACTGCCTTCTGGGAGTGTGTATGTCTGGCTGCTCAGTTTCTGGAGCAAGGCCAGGGAAGAGGGCAGTCATTTTGCTGTTTGCTCTGCCCACTGCCACTAAATCTCTCTGCTCTCAGCCTCTGGCAACTCACTCCCTGCACTCAATGCCTGCCATCCCCAGTTCTAGAGCCTCTTTGATTTAATTTCTCCAGAAGCTAAACCTGGAGAGGGAGAGGGCTAGTCACCCGAGAGCACACAGGATGGGGGATGAGAACCCGGAGGTCTTACTGCTCCATATACAGACTTTGTTTTTAGTCCCCTCCCTACTGCAGCACTGAAGCCTCCAATTCCTGGGACTTTCTGGGATTCCAGGAGAGAACTGGCCTGCTTTTCTCTGGGATCTGCTTCTACAGGTTTGGAGCTACAGGTGTTGTCTTATTTCACTAAATATGGATTTCTGCTTCTGTTTCTTGTTCTCTTTTACTTTGAGGGTGATTTAGGAGCAAAAGGGGTGACCATTTTTTTTTTTTTTGAGATGGAGTCTGCTCTGTCGTCCAGGCTGGAGTGCAGTGGCCCAATCTCGGCTCACTGCAACCTCCGCCTCCCGGGTTCGCACCATTCTCCTGCCTCAGCCTCCCGTAGCTGGGATTACAAGCGCCTGCCACCACACCTGGCTAGTTTTCTGTATTTTTAGTGGAGACGGGGTTTCACTGTGTTAGCCAGGATGGTCTCGATCTCTTGACCTTGTGATCCGCCCGCCTCGGCCTCCCAAAGTGCTGGGATTAGAGGCATGAGCCACCGCGCCTGGCCGATGTTTTTACCATAGTAAAAACTAACATCTAGACAGTTTACTAAAATTTTGAATGATTTGCTAACATTGTAAAAATCATGACATTTCATATTATAGACATTAGAATGTTAGGATTGGCTGGGCGCCGGTGGCTCACGCCTATAATCCCAGCACTTTGGGAGGCCAAGGTGGGTGGATCATTTGAGGTCAGAAGTTGATCAGCCTGGACAACATGGTGAAACCCCGTCTCTACTAAAAATACAAAAATTAGCCGGGCGTGGTGGCCCATGCCTGTAGTCCCAGCTACTCGGCAGGCTGAGACAGGAGAATCGCTTGAACCCGGGAGGCGGAGGTTGCAGTGAGCTGAGATCACGCCATTATACTTCAGCCTGGGTGACAGAGCAACACTCTGTCTCAAAAAAGAAAAGTTAGGATTTTCCTGTACTATCAGAACACCTGACAATACCGGGCCCTTATTTCCACGTGTCAGCAGCTGGAGCTCAGGAGCAACTATCCTCTTTATTTTTATATTATTTAATTTTTTTATAGAGACATGGTCTCCCTATGTTGCCCAGGCTGGTCTTGAATTCCTGGGCTCTGGCCGGGTGCAGTGGCTCACGCCTGTAATCCCAGCACTTTGGGACGCCGAGGCGGGCGGATCACAAGGTCAGGAGATCAAGACCATCCTGGCCAACATGGTGAAACCCCGTCTCTACTAAAAATACAAAAATTAGTCGGGCGTGATGGCACACGCTTGTAATCTCAGCTACTCGGGAGGCTGAGGCAGGAGAATCGCTTGAACCTGGGAGTCGGAGATTGCAGTGAGCCGAGATCACCACTGCACTCCAACCTGGCTGGCGACAGAATTAGACTCTGCCTCAAGAAAAAAAAAAAAAAAAAAAAAAAGAATTCCTGGGCTCAAGGGATCCTCCTGCCTTGGGCTCCCAAAGTGCTGGGATTACAAGCATGAGCCACTGTGCACAGTCTGACTGTCCTCTTTATTCATTTATGTATTTATTTATTTTGAGACAGAATCCCACTCTGTTGCCCAGGCTGGAGTGCAGTGGCACAATCTCAGCTCACTGCAACGTCCACCTCCTGGGTTCAAGCGATTCTCCTGCCTCAGCCTCCCGAGTAGCTGGGACTATAGGCACATGCCACCATGCCCGGCTAATTTTTGTATTTTTAGTAGAGACGGGTTTTCGCCCTGTTGGCCAGGCTGGTCTTGAACTCCAGACCTCAAATGATCCGCCTGCCTCAGCCTCCCAAAGTGCTGGGTTTACAGGCATGAGCCACTGCACCTGGAAAAGTTCTTTTTAATGTACAGTTCCAGGAGTTTTGACAAACATATACAGTCAAGTGAACACTACCGCAATCAAGATATAAGACAGGGCCGGGCGCGGTGGCTCATGCCTGTAATCCCAGCACTTTGGGAGGCTGAGGCATGTGGATCATTTGAGGTCAGGAGTTCAAGACCAGCCTGGCCAACATGGTGAAATACACGAATTAGCTGGGCGTGGTGGCATGAGCTTGTAATCCCAGCTACTTGGGAGGCTGAGGCAGAATTGCTTTAACCTGGGACACGGAGGTTGCAGTGAGCCAAGATTGCACCACTGCACTCCAGCCTGGGCGACAGAGTGAGACTCTGTCAAAAAAAAAAAAAAAAGATATAGGACAGGACAGGCACAGTGGCTCACACTTGTAATCCCAGCACTTTGGGAGGCTGAGGGGGGAGGATCGCTGGAGCCCAGGAGTTGGAAACCAACTTGGGCAAGATGGCAAGATCCTGTTGGTACAAAAAAATTAAAAATTAGCCAGGCATGGTGGCATGAGCCTGTGGTCCCAGCCACTCGGGCAGCTGAGGCAGGAGAATCCCTTGAGCCCAGAAGTTCGAGGCTGCAGTGAGCTATGATCGTGCCATTACACTCCAGACTGGATGACAGAACAAGACCTTGTCTCTTAAAAAATATACACACACGCATATACATACATAGACACGTATACAAACACAAACACACACACACACACACACACACCAGTTCCAGTACCCATCGTCACCCCCAGTTCCCACTTGCCCTTTGTAGTCAGTCCCTCTCTGCATTCTAGTCCCTGGCAACTACCCATCTGTTTCTTGTTCCCATTGTTTTGCCTTTTCCGGAACAGAATCCTTCAAAAAGTAGCCTTGAGTGTGGCTTCTCTCACTTAGCATAATACATCTGAGATTCTGCCCTGCTGCTGCATGTATCTGTAGCTCATTCCTTTTTATTGCTGCATAGTATTTCATTTTATGAACGTACCACTGCGTGTTTATACATTTACCAGTTGAAGCCATTTTAGTTGTTTCTAGTTTTTGGTGGTTATGAATAAGACCAGTGTAAATATTTACATCCAGATTTTTGCACTTTTTTAAAATTTAGAGATAGGGTCTTGCTCTGTCGCCCAGGCTGGAGTGCAGTGGCATGATCACAGCTACCTGGGGGACTGAGGTGGGTGGATCACCTGAGCCCGGGAGGTTGAGGCTGCAGTGAGCCGTGATCACACCACTGCACTCCAGCTCAGAGCAAGGCCCTGTCTCAAAAAAAAAAAAAGAAAGAAAGAAAAGGAAAAAGAGGCTGGGTGTGGTGACTCACACCTGTAATCCCAGCACTTTGGGAGGCCGAGATGGGCGGATTGCTTGAGGTCAGGAGTTCGAGACCAGCCTGGCCAATATGGCAAAACCCCATCTCTACCAAAAATATAAAAATTAGCTGGGCGTGGTGGAGTGTGCCTGTAATCCCAGGTTCTCGGGAGGCTGAGGCAGGAGAATCGCTTGAACCAGGGAGTTGGAGGTTGCAGTGAGCCAAGATCGCACCACTGCACTCCAGCCTGGCAATAAGAGCGAGATTCCGTCTCAAAAAAAAAAAAAAAAATTAGCTGGGCATGGTGGCGCATGCCCTATAATCCCAGCTACTTGGGAGGCTGAGGCAGGAGAATTGCTTGAACCCAGGAGGCAGAGGGTGCAGTGAGCTGAGATTGCCCCACTGCACTCTAGCTTGGGCGACAAAGTGAGACTCCATCTCAAAAAAAAAAAAAAAAGAACAACGAAGAAAAAAAGAGAGTTCTTTATATGTTCTGGCTACAAGTCTTTTATCAGATACATGTTTTGCAAAGATCATCTGGCAATCTGCTTGTTTTTTCAATCTCTTATCAATGTCTTTAGCAAAAAGCTTTGCCTAACCCCAAAGTCACAAAGATTTTCTCCTGTTTTCCCCTGGAAGTCTTAGTTTTATGTTTCACATTTTGGTCTATGATCTATTTTGAGTGAATTTTGTGATAAGGTGCAAGGTATAGGTTTAATATTTTTGCACACAGATGTCCAGTTATTCTAGCATCATATGTTGGATGATTGCAGTTATTATTAACACTGTCAGTATTCTCAAGGCTCCTGGGCTCAGGGGTCAGCAATGGTACCTCTGGCTCCAACTCTGCAGTTCAGTCGCCTGCCCCATACGCCCCTCAAACCTAACAGCTGGGGCCTGTTGCAGTTCTTTGCTTGCAGAAGACTTTGTTTCTGGTCTCTTTACCTCTTCTCTCTCTTCCTGAAATCTGCATAAAACAAACCATGAAAGGGCAGGGTGGCCTCGTGGTCTGGCAACGTCCCTTTGAAAATAAACAAGTGCAGAAACTGAAAGGCAGCAGCTACCTCTGGGGACTACTCGAGAAAGAGTTCAGGGCCGGTGCATCCGCCGCGCGTGGCTGTCTTGCCCCAGCTGGGCGGCAGGTCGGATGTGGCAAAACCAAACAGGATCCCGATTGCTTCAGATGTCACCTCTGGCCAGAGACCCCCGATGCCTCTGCAGCAAGCACCTAATTGTATTTATGGGGTACGGGCAGAAGAGTTTCATGGCTGAAAAGCCCTCAACAGTTTGTACAGCCTTCCTCAAAGGTCCAGATCTAACTGGTTCCCACACAACCCTGGGAGGTGGGCAGGTCAGGGACAGTTACCTTTATCTTACACATAAGAAAACTGAGGCACAGAAGGGTGAAGAAATAGATGGGTGTGGGTTTGGAATTTTTTTTTTTTTTTTTTTGAGGCAGAATCTCACTTCATCACCCAGGCTAGAGTGCAGTGACGCAATCTCGCCTCACTGCAACCGCCATCTCCTGGGTTCAAGTGATTCTGGGGCCTCAGCCTCCTGAATAGTTGGGATTACAGGTGCGCACCACCATGCCTGGCCCTAACTTTTTTTTTTTTGAGACAGAGTCTCACTCTTTTTGCCCAGGCTGGAGTGCAGTGGAGCAATCTCAGCTAACTACAACCTCCGCCTCCCAAGTTCAAGCAATTCACCTGCCTCAGCCTCCTAAATAGCTGGGATTACAGGCGCCCACCACCACTCCTGGCTAATTTTTTGTACTTTTAGTAGAGATGGGGTTTCACCATGTTGGCCAGGCTGGTCTCAAAGTCCTGACCTCAGATGATCCACCCACCTTGGCCTCCCAAAGTGCTGGGATCACAGGTGTACCATGCCCGGCCACTCGGCTAACTTTTGTATTTTGGTAGAGACAGAGTTTCACCATGTTGCCCAGGCTGGTTCTCAAACTCCTGACCTCAAGTGATCTGCCTGCCTCAGCCTCCCAAAGTGATGGATTTACAGGCAAAAAGAAGTTTTTTTTTTGTTCGGTGGGGAGGGGGTTAGGCAAACGTTTAGCAAAAAGCTTTCGCTAACCAAAGTCACAAAGATTTTGCCAGGCCATTTTTTTGTTTCGTTTTTTTTTTAGATAAGATCTTGCTCTGTTGCCCAGGCTGGAGTGCAGTGGCACAATTTTGGCTTACTGCACTCTCCAACTCCTGGGCTCAAGCGATCCTCACACCTCAGCCTCCTGGGTAGCTGGGACTAAAGGTGTGTATCACATGCTTGGCTAATTTTTAAATTTTTTTTGGGATGGGGTTTGGCTATGTTGCCCAGGCTGGTCTTGAAATCCTGGCCTCAAGCGATCCTCCAGAATTCATAATTCTCCCCACCACCCTGGCTGGAAATATCTCAAATGTCCAAAGAATGGATAAGCACATTGTGGTACACTCATCCCACGGAATATTCTCCAGCAATGAGAATGAATGACATACAGTCTCACACAGCAGTACTGAATCTCACAAATACCATGTTGAGTGAAAGAAGCTAGACACACAAGAGCACACACTACATCATTCTGTGTATGTAAAGCTAAAAAATAAGCCAAAGAAATCGGTGCAGGTAGAAGTCAGGGTGTCGGCCACACTTCGAGGGGTAGTGACTAGACAGGGATAAGAAGGGGACTGGGGATTAGTGATATTCTGTTTATTGATGCAGATGCAAGTCATGCAGGTGTGTTCAGTGGGTGAAAAATCATTGAGCTACACCCTTACATGTTGATTAAATATTCAGGGCTGGGCACAGTGGCTCATGCCTGTAATCCCTGTAAATGCTTACAGAGGCCAAGGTAGGAGGATCACTTGAAGCCAGGAGTTCAACAGCAGCCTGGGCAACATGGTAAAATCCAGTCTCTACCAAAAAAAAAAAAAAAAAAAAAAAAGGGCCGCGCATGGCGGAATGCACCTGTAGGCTTCCAGCTACTTGGGACCCTCACTCAGGGTCTCACTCTGTCACCCAGGCTGGAGTGCAGTGGCGCCATCAGGGTTCACTGCAGCCTTGACCTCCCAGGCTCAAGTGATTCTCCCACTCAGCCTTTCAAGTTAGCTGGGACCACAGGCCAATTTATGGGCTTACTGGGAAGTAACCCCACTGTAAATTGAAGAGCATCTGTATTCAACTCTGTTGTTGCATGGTGAAAGCAGCCAGGAACAATATGTAAATGAATAAGCATGGCTTGTTCCAATAAAACTTTATTTTAAAAAAATCAGGTGGGCTGGGCATAGTGGCTCAGGCCTGTAATCCCGGCACTTTGGGAGGCCAAGGCGGGCAGATCACCTGAGGTCAGGAGTTCAAGACCAGCCTGGCCAACATGGTGAAACCCCATCTCTACTAAAAATACAAAAATTAGCTGGGCGTGGTGGCAGGCACCTGTAATCCCAGCTACTCAGGAGGCTGAGGCAGGAGAATCGCTTGAGCCCCAGAGGCGGAGGTTGCAGTGAGCCGAGATCATGCCATTGCACTCCAGCCTGGATGACAAGAGCGAGACTTTGTCTCAAAATAAATAAATAAATAAAAATAAAAAAACAGGTAGCCAGATTTGCTGATTCCTGGCCTGCTGGAAGACAGGCTGGGTTCCGAAGCCTCCTTCACTGAGTCCCTGCAGGACCCTGTCCAAGTCGCTTCCCTGGCCTGAGTTATCCTTTCTGTAAATCGGGAGGCTGATTCCCTGCTCTAAACCACCCTTCGGGGTTGCCAGGAGGTCAGATGAGCTCATCACGGAGGGAGCCCAGAGGGAGAAAAGAGCAGGATTAAGAGCCTCTTGAGGTTCTCTGATGCAAAGCAGATTGCTTTTTCTGCCTAGGTCTGGAGAGAGAAAGCCATTGACCTCAAGTCACCCAGTGCATCCATGGGTACCAGTGTCCCAGGGGCATCCTAGAGGGAGACAGGACCCACAGGCTTGGCCGCAGACCCTGGTCCTTGCCATCCCGAGGCCTCTCCCCAACCCCACCTGTGGAGAGAGAACAACAGTGAAGAGAGACTGGAAAACTGAGTCTCTAACAGGCTGTTCCTTTGAGCCCCTGGCCAGAAGCTATTTGGGTCTGTTTTAATGACTGAGCAGCCAGTGCCCAGGGCAGGGACGTGTTGTCTGACCTCCAGCCCTCTGCTCAGTCAGGCACGTCTCTCCTTCCTGTTCCCGGGTGGGCGCATCCCACAAGGCCTGACTCAGGCTGTGCCGCATCTGGAGCATGCTGTGCGGATGACTCCAGTGTCAATCACTTGGGGAAGAGGTGGGTCTTCAGAGAGCAAAGTGTAACTGAGGGCAAACCCAAGGCAACCAGGGGAGGGCCATTCTTCCCTTCCCTGTGCCTCCTGCTCTCGGAACTGGTCTTCTAAAGCTAGAGGTGCGCGAGGATAATAACTATAAAATAGCAGTTAACATTTGAGATTCACTGTGTGCCTGGGCCTGCCTTGAGCGCTTTACACGTATTCATTTAATCCTCACAACAACCCTGGTAGGCATTATTATTGTCCTCATTATACAGATGAGGAAACAGGGACCCAGAGAGGTTAAGATACTTGCCTGAGGTCACACTGCTCAGGAGTGGTGGAGCTCCGCGTGTTGAGGACTACAGAAGAGGATGCCTCATTGGTCCAAAACAGGTCCATATGGAGGAGTGGGGGCTCACGTCGGGTAAGACCCAGTGAAAACTTGCCTAAACCATCAAGGGCATTTATTGGCTCACAAATTGAGACGTTCCGGGGGTTGTGCTGGCTTCAGGGCCGGCTGGGGCCAAGGCCCAAATGCTGCCCTTAGAAAGCACACACTCACCGTCTTTCAGCCCTTTCCTGTGATGGTTTCATTCTCAGGCTGATTCCTCCCCACGTGTAAGGAAAGATGGCCACAGCCACTCCATTTGAGCAACTCCAGATGCTCCAGCAGAATTCTTTCCCACCAGTTCCCACCCAGGGCTGACTCTCACTGGGCTGCTATGGGCCACGTGCTCATCCCTGAGCCAATTGTGGTAGCCAGGAGGCGGGACCATGGTGATTGGATAGGACTGGGTCATATCACCACCCTGGGCTAAGTGCCCGCCCCACTTAAGGACGGGGAGGGAGGGAGACCCCTATGGGAAGAAGAGGGAAACAGAACTGGATAGACAAGGTCAAAGGATGTCTATCTAATCTGAGACTCTGGAGGAAACATGCATTCTTCACCCAGAGGAGCGATAGAGGGAAGTTGGACTTGGCCTTTAGGGTCTGCAGTCCATCCTCGGCCCCACCACGGACCTCTGTGACACTTGTTGCCTTAGCATGGCCTGGAACTTGGACCTGAGCCTTTTCTGCCTACCTCCCCCAGCTGATCCCTTTCCCACCCCACCTCCCTGCCTACTGACCGCCTTCACATTGCCTGGGGCCACATGGGCCCTGTTGCCAACCGCTGGCCCCCCGCTTGGCCTATTGTTCCAGTTCCCTAGTTGCCCGGCTCCCACTTCCAGTCTGGTCTTTTCCAATCCATGCTATTCATTGGCAACACCATCCCTAGTCCAGCAGAGCCTTGGCTCAGAAGCCTCCAGCCCCTCCTTTGTGTCAAAAAGGAAAAACGAGCTGCTTAGCCCCAGGCCTGGTATTCCTCCAGTGTCCTAGGAGATTCCCTGACCCTTGCCATCAGAATGTCTGTATCCCCTAATTCCAAACTGTGGTCGGCATCGTAAAGCACTGCGGCTCACTTACCTGCCTGGGGGTTAAGGGTCAAGTTTGAGTCATCGCTGCCTAGGGCCCAGCACAGCTCAACCAATGCCGGCAAAGCCTACATTTCTAGCTCCTGGGCATGAGACTGCTCCTTGATGAAGGGAGGTGGGAGAGGAAGTTAGGCGGCTCCAGTGAGAGACACAGAGGAAGTTCCACAGAATGACTGTGAGACAGTGATCTAGGCGGGTGGAGACAAGGGAGGCAGGGGGAAAGGGCAGAAGCCTTAGAGAGAGGAGGGAGGGACCGATCCAGAGAGTGAGAGCTGGGAACAGACACGCAGGGAGGGCAGAAAGGAAGCGCGGGAACGTGTGCCAGCTCAGGCATTTTTTTTCCTTAAGCAAACAAGGCCTCTATGATTTGTGTTTTGTCAGGCTGAACTTTCCATATCAGGAGTTTATTTAGCTGAGCAGCCAATTCTGGTAAAAACACTGGAACATGTTAAAAAGGAACGGGTAGGAAGGAGAGTCAGACAGAACAAACAGGAGAGAGCATCTGCCTGCAGCCGGTCCACGCAGTGCAGCTTGGCCTAGACCCGCTGACACAACACCCCCACCCCTGCCAGCTCTCTTTAGGGGCTGACCCAAGGGCCAGGTGACGCTGGACAGAGGTGGGGAAGTCAGCGTGGGGGAAGGAGTCTGGGCTGAAAGGGTCACAGCCCTGGGAAAGGTCTGGTTCCAGCCCAACCATGTAAGTCACTAGAGGCTGTTAGGACAAGTCAAGCCGAGGTTGCAGTCCACCCATGCACTAACGCCCCTGAGTCCCTACCACAATCCAGAGTCCCCTCAGAGACAGGGAAGCTGAAAACATGTCCCTGCTGGAACCCAGGTCTCGGGGTAGGCGGATCAGGTGTGGCTTTTTTTTTTTTGAGACAGAATCTCACTCTGTTGCACCCAGGCTGGAGTGCAGTGGCGTGATCTCAGCTCACTGCAACCTCTGCCTCCCAGGTTCAAGCCATTCTCCTGCCTTGGCCTCCCAACTAGTTGGGATTAAAGGTGTGTGCCACCACACCTGGCTAATTTTTCTATTTTTAGTAGACACGGGGTTTCGCCATGTTGCCCAGGCTGGTCTCGAACTCCTGACCTCAGGTGATCGCCCTTCTCGGCCTCCCAAAGTGCTGGGATTACAAGCATGAGCCACCACGCCTGGCCTCAGGTGTGGCTTTCAACCTGGGGGCCTGACCCGGCATGAGAGCCCTGCAGGGGACTGTCCTGCTGTTTTCTCACCTGCACAAGGTGGCCAACAATACCTGCCCACAGAAAGGAGCAACTAGTGGCTTGCCTGGCATCCAGCTGGTGCTTAATAATGGCAGCTCTTATGACTATGGAAGGCAACAGCTCCTGTGTGCAAGGAACTTGTGTGTCTTGTAGAATCAGGGCCACACGGCCAAGCAAGAGAGGCCGGAGCAGCTGGAGAGGGACACCGTCACCATCGATCTGACCTTACTTAAAATGAGACAAAACCACAAGGTATTCATGATTTGAAATTTTTATTTTCTGAAATGAAACAATTGTACATTGTACAAACCATATCTACTGATGGAATAAATAAGTGAAAAATTATACTGCTGTACAACACACCAAAAAAAAAAAAAATTCTTGAAAGGGGAAAAAATTAGGTAACGGTGAAAAAAGGTCTTTATGCCTCTAACCAGGTTCTTGGCGATAATGAACATTCCAAACCATGACACCGTTTGCTAATGGGAGGTCACCACCCTAGAGGAATCGGTCCACAGCCTTCCGGGTTGTGGGTGTAAGTGCCAGCACTTTGTGGAATGTGTAGCCGCAGCTTCCCCGACTTCACGTTTTGGGGGGAATTAGGTTTGCCCTGGGAGCCCTTGAGGCCACGGGGCCTGATGTCCACGGAAGGCTTTTGCTCGGGATCCCCCGCCCCCTGGCTCGAAGCTGAAAGGTCTTAGATTCTGTGGTGGGGGGAGGGCGAGGGGTGCAGGGTGGGTGGGGGGCAGCGGCTCGAGGAGCGACTGCGCCAGGGAAGGAAGCACATCGGATTTTTGCAGTCTTGTCATTCTGCGTGGAAGGCCTTCTTGGCCAGCGTGGAGTGCAGGGCTGCTGGCGCTTTGCCTGGCGTGGCCGTGGTGGGGCCCAGCTGGTCCCAATCGCCGGCCCATTCCTACCTTCAGGCACTTCAGAGAAATACTAGTGACAGCCTTGGGACGGTGGACGTCGTCTGAGTCCTCACCTGCGCCAACTCCCCTTGCCTGTCCAGAGAGGCTGCGGTCAACGGCAGGGCCACCTACGCCTCTCTGTTTCTGTGGATGTGTGTGTTTCATTCTCCTTCAGCTGTCTTGGTTGTAGCCTCTCGTTTCCCAAAAACAGAGAAGGAAATAAATATCCAAATTCATCTCTCACCAAGATGGAGTTTCGCTGCAAAGAAAAATGTGACTCTAACTCTACGGAATCTGGAGGTAACGCCGCCTCGAGATGCGTGGAGAGGAACCGCATCAGGTAGGTTCTGCGCCAGGATGCAGGACACAGTTCTCAACAAAACTGACTGCCTAAGGGGCAAAATTGATAAGTACAAGGATTTTTTTTTTTAAGACAGAAACCTTTCGGCATTGCTAACTTCAACATTAAGATTTTCAAAGTTGTGGTTTTTTTTTTTTCCCTTATTTCAGGAGACATTTTGCATGAGGTATTTGAAATTCAGGAACATTTTGATTCTTCTCGAAGTGCAGGAAATAGACAGGATCCCTTAAAAAAAAAAATAAGAGCCTCACCCTCAGAAACTCTTAGAAAATGGAATCCAGCAGACACTTCCCATGATGGTCAGGAGAAAGAGCCACACGTCAAAGGTGGTACCTGAATATGCACCAATTAGCCCCCAAAAACAACAAAACCCATGACCCCACCCCACCCCCAGTAACACACAACTCAAAGGGAGTCAGAACTCCAGTGCAGTAAAGAAAGCTTAGGAAAAGGTTTAAGGTCTGAGGAGTTCATATATTAATTAAGAGCAAACCAGGCCTCAGAACCAAACGATTAGGCAGTTCGTCCAAGGGGGCGTCTCCGTTCAGTGAGAGGAAGCTGTTCCAGCGAAGGTGGGGGATGGGAGGGAGGGGAGATTGCGTCTCTCCTTTCTGGAGGGTGTGCAAATCTTTCCAATTCCTCGACGCCTTGTTTGTGGCCTTCGAGGCCCGGCCATCAAGGCCCACTCCCCGGTGGGGACAGACGGCATGTTCTGGGGATGAGACACGGTCCAGCTGTTGGCTCAGAGTCAGAACAGCCTGAGAATAGGAAAGCACGTGGATTCTGACCACTGCGATCCTGCCTCTCCGGGGCACAGGCTGGGGCGTCGGGGGAGGCAAAGGGCAGCAGGTGACCGTGGATTTGAAATCCAAGCGACGTCCTATGAGAGAAAGTTCAGCACCAGCTAATCCTGCCGCCGGCTCCCAGCCTCCCCGGCCCACTCAGTGCCTTAAGGAGACAGCCTTGCAGTCAGCCAGAGAAGCCATTTCGTATTCGGAGGTCTGGGAGAAAGCAGTGATGGGGGTGGTGGTGGTGGGGGCAATAGAGAGGAAGTGCCAGAAAATTCCAAGGGCTTTGCACGTCCATCTGGGCCATGGTGGGCTTGGAGACGCCCAGTCCTAAACGCCCCAAGGAGGGGAGAGCACAGCGAGTGCCCAGCCTGATCCAAGGGGCCGAGCCCTTGGGGACTGTGCCCCAACACCTGCGCGTCCTTGGGCCCTGGTGCCTGGTGCTTGGGGCGTGCCTAAGGTCCCCCTGCACCTGCAAACCAGGTGGGCTAAGGAGCTCCTTCGCTCCACCCTGCCTGCTCCGATGAAGTCCTGGGGCAGGGAGGAGAGCGGTGAGTAGGGTGGCAGCCGCCGCCCGAACCAAACCAAGAGGGCACTTTGCAGAGGGGGATGTAAGAACCACCAGGATACATGCCAGAGGTCACCTCAAGGGCACAAGGCACAAAAAAAGAAAGCGGAAGGAATCGGTTGAACAGTGGAAAGCCCCGCCAAAAAGCGTTCCTGATCGGTACCACCCTCCGATAGCTTATATCGTTACATAGAGAAGTGGGGGGAAAATACAGCAGCAACACAAATGGAATCCTGGCTTCCGAGACAGTGTGCAGACACTCCTGAGCTGTCAGCCCCGCCTGCCTCCCCAAGGACAGTCCCTTAAAGGTTTGAGTGTTTTGCTTCACAGCAGAGTTCTTCAGTGTCTGAGAAGTGACGCCGTTCTGGGTCTTCTTGGATTTGCACTTGGTAAACTTGAAACGTTAGTAGTTCTGTTCGCACCCAAGAGGAATCGCTGGGGCAAAGTTGCTCTAGAATTAATTGCTGATGTACCTTCCATGGAACATGGATCGGAGGCTTTAAAGCATCGTCTACATCTCTTCGGAGTTTTGTTGAGAGGCCTCCAGTTTCATCTTTTTAGAGGGTGGCACTCCTTCCAAATCCTTGGGGAGAGGAGAAAAGGGGAACACAGGTTAATGGGCCAGGAGAGCAAGTTAGGCCAGGCGTGAGGCCGAAGGTCAGCCAAGGAAGGAACCGAGCGGGGGCGGCTTTGTGGTTCAGACCAGCAGTTCCAGACCCGAGGCCCAAGCGTGGACTCCAGAGAGTTTGAGGACCTATGGAGACCCTCACACCCAAACTCTTCCTGGAGCTATGGAGCGCGGTGTCCCCTGGCCCCTGCCTGACCCTATCACATGCCAATGGCTGGTAACTCGGGAGCATTTCCTACACTGCTGCCTTGGACCCTAGGCTCTCCCCACTCATTCAGACTGGACCAGAAGTTGCTGTTATCAATCTTCCCATCTATGATTCATTGCTAGGGTGATTACTTGTGATTATTGTTTCAAGTTCACCTTTCCAAGTTCTTGTTTTTGTTGTTGAGATGGAGTCTCACTCTGTTGCCAGGCTGGAGTGCAGTGGGGCAATCTTGGCTCACTGCAACCTCCGCCTCCTGGGTTCAAGTGATTCTCCTGCCTCAGCCTCCCAAGTAGCTGTGATTACAGGCACGCGCCACCATGCCCGGCTAATTTTTGTATTTTTAGTAGAGACGGGGTTTCACCATGTGGGCCAGGCTGGTCTCAAACTCCTGACCTCAGGTTATCTGCCCACCTCGGCCTCCCAGAGTGCTGGGATTACAGGTGCACACCACCATGCCTGGCTAATTTTTTGTATTTTTGGTAGAGACAGGGTTTCACCATGTCTCCATGTTTCACCATGTTGGCCAGGCTGGTCTCAAACTCCTGACCTCAGGTGATCTGCCCGCCTCACCTTCCCAGAGTGCTAGGATTACAGGCGTGAGCCACCGCACCAGCTTTTCCAAGTTCTTTTTATAATTTTTTTTAGAGACAGAGTCTTGCTTTGCTGCTCAGGCTGGGGTGTAGTGGTCATCATAGCTCACTGCAGCCTCGACTTCCTGGTCTCAGAGGATCCCCCTGCCTCAGCCTCCTGAGTAGCTGGGACTATATGCATGTGCCACCATGCCCGGATGATTTTTTTTTTTTAAGTTTTTTGTAGAGATGGGGTCTTGCTATGCTGCCCAGGCTGGTCTTGAACTCCCGGGCTCAAGGGATCCTCCTGCCTCAGCCTCCCAAACTGCTTGGATTACAGGTGTGAGCCATGATGCCTGGCAATCTCTGCAAGTTCTAGGCCATCTCCCAGAGGCCCAGACCCACTCTGCCATGTAGACTCCTGCTCCTGCAGGGCTGGGCACAGTGCCTGGTCTGGGCTGGACTCTCAGCATTTGCTGGGTATACACATATGTGTGTGTGTTATTCTGGGGGAAAGGGTCTGTAGTTGTCACTG